>NC_000020.11:26587055-26590875 GCF_000001405.40 Homo sapiens
AGTCACAGAATGGAACGTTCCCTTTCATAGAACAGGTTTGAAACTCTCCTTTTGTCGTATCTGGAAGTGTCCATTTGGAGCGCATTCAGGCTTGTGTTGAAAAAGGAAATATCTTCCCATAAAAACTAGACAGAAGCATTCTCAGCAACTTGTTTGTGATGTGTGCCCTCTACTAACAGAGTTGAACCTTTCTTTTCATAGAGCAGTTTTGAAACACTCTTTTTGTAGAATCTGCAGGAGGATATTTGCATAGCTTTGAGGATTTCGTTGGAAACGGGATTGTCTTCAGATAAAATCCAGACAGAAGCATTCTCAGAAACTTCGCTGGGATGTTTCCATTCAAGTCACAGAGGAGAACATGCCCTTTCGTAGAGAAGGTTTAAAACACTCTTTTTGTAGTATCTGGAAGTGGACATTTGGAGCAGTTTCAGGCCTATGTTGAAAAAGGAAATATCTTCCCTTAACAACTGGACAGAAGTATTCTCAGAAGCTAGTCTCTGATGTGTGTCCTCAACTAACAGAGTTGAACATTTCTTTAGACAGAACAGTTTTGAAACCCTCTTTTTGTGGAGTCTGCAAGTGGATATTTGGCTAGATTTTTAGGATTTCGTTGGAAACGGGATTACGTATAAAAAGCCGACAGCAGCATTCTCAGAAACTTCTTTGTGATGTTTGCATTCAAGTCACAGAATTGAACATTACCTTTGATAGAGCAGTTTTGTAACACTCTTTTGGTAGTGTCTGTAAGTGGACATCTGGATCGCTTTCCGGCCTAAGGTGAAAAAGGACATATCTTCCCATAAAAACCAGACAGAAGCATTCTCAGAAACTTACTCGTGATGTGTGTCCTCAACTAACGGAGTAGAACCTTTCTTTTGATAGAGCAGATTTGAGAACACACTTTTTGTAGAATCTGCAAGTGGATATTTGGATAGCTTTGAGGATTTCATTGGAAACGGGAATATCTTCATATAAAATCTAGACAGAAGCATTCTCAGAAACTTCCTTGTGATGGTTGCATTCAATTCACAGAGTTGAGCATTCGCTTTCATAGAGCAGGTTGGAAATACTCATTTTCCATTCCCTGGAAGTGGACATTTGGAGCGCTTCGAGGCCTATGGTGAAAAAGGAAACATCTTCCCATAAAAACTAGACATTAGCATTCTCAGAAATTTATTTGTGATGTGTGTCCTCAACTGACAGAGTTGAACATTTCTTTTGAGAGAGCAGTTTTGAAACACTCTTTTTGTGCAATCTGCAAGTCGATATTTGGCTGGCTTTGACGAATTCGTTGGAAACGGGAATACATATAAAAAGCAGACAGCAGCGTTCTCAGAAACTTCTTGGTGATGTTTTCATTCAAGTCACAGAATGGAACGTTCCCTTTCATAGAACAGGTTTGAAACTCTCCTTTTGTCGTAACTGGAAGTGTCCATTTGGATCGCATTCAGGCTTGTGTTGAAAAAGGAAATATCTTCCCATAAAAACTAGACAGAAGCATTCTCAGCAACTTGTTTGTGATGTGTGCCCTCTACTAACAGAGTTGAACCTTTCTTTTCATAGAGCAGTTTTGAAACACTCTTTTTGTAGAATCTGCAGGAGGGTATTTGCATAGTTTAAGGATTTCGTTGGAAACGGGATTTTCTTCAGATAAAATCCGGACAGAAGCATTCTCAGAAACTTCTTTGGGATGTTTGCATTCAAGTCACAGAGGAGAACATGCCCTTTCGTAGAGAAGGTTTGAAACACTCTTTTTGTAGTATGTGGAAGTGGACATTTGGAGCGGTTTCAGGCGTATGTTGAAAAAGGAAATATCTTCCCGTAACAAGTGGAGAGAAGCATTATCAGAAGCTAGTCTCTCATGTGTGACTTCAACTAACAGAGTTGAACATTTCTTTAGACAGAACAGTTTTGAAACACTCTTTTTGTGGCGTCTGCAAGTGGGTATTTGGCTAGATTTGAGGATTTCGTTGGAAACGGGATTACGTATAAAAAGCAGACAGCAGCATTCTCAGAAACTTCTTTGTGATGTTGGCATTCAAGTCACAGAATTGAACATTCCCTTTCACAGAGCAGGTGTAAAACACTCTTTTTGTAGTGTCTGTAAGTGGACGTTTGGAGCGCTTTCCGACCTAAGGTGAAAAAGGACATATCTTTCCATAAAAACTAGACAGAAGCATTCTCAGAAAGTTACTAGTGATGTGTGTCCTCAACTAACGGAGTAGAACCTTTCTTTTGATAGAGCAGTTTTGAAACACTCTTTTTGTAGAATCTCCAAGTGGATATTTGGATAGCTTTGAGGATTTCCTTGGAAACGGGAATATCTTCATATAAAATCTAGACAGAAGCATTCTCAGAAACTTCCTTGTGATGGTTGCATTCAAGTCACGGAGTTGAACATTCGCTTTCATAGAGCAGGTTGGAAACACTCTTTTTCCATTCCCTGGAAGTGGACATTTGGAGCGCTTTGAGGCCTATGGTGAAAAAGGAAATATCTTCCCATCAAAACTAGATAGAAGCGTTCTCAGAAACTTATTTGTGATGTGTGTCCTCAACTGACATTGTTGAACATTTCTTTTGAGCGAGCAGTTTTGAAACACTCTTTTTGTGGAATCTGCAAGTGGATATTTGGCTGGCTTTGACGATTTTGTTGGAAACGGGAATACATATAAAAAGCAGACAGCAGCGTTCTCAGAAACTTCTTGGTGATGTTTTCATTCAAGTCACAGAATGGAACGTTCCCTTTCATAGAACAGGTTTGAATCTGTCCTTTTGTCGTAACTGGAAGTGTCCATTTGGATCGCATTCAGGCTTGTGTTGAAAAAGGAAATATCTTCCCATAAAAACTAGAGAGAAGCATTCTCAGCAACTTGTTTGTGATGTGTGCCCTCTACTAACAGAGTTGAACCTTTCTTTTCATAGAGCAGTTTTGAAACACTCTTTTTGTAGAATCTGCAGGAGGATATTTGCATAGTTTGAGGATTTCGTTGGAAACGGGATTGTCTTCAGATAAAATCCAGACAGAAGCATTCTCAGAAACCTCTTTGGGATGTTTGCATTCAAGTCACAGAGGAGAACATGCCGTTTCGTAGAGAAGGTTTGAAACACTCTTTTTGTAGTATCTGGAAGTGGACATTTGGAGCGGTTTCAGGCCTATGTTGAAAAAGGAAATATCTTCCCGTAACAACTGGACAGAAGCATTATCAGAAGCTAGTCTCTCATGTGTGAATTCAACTAACAGAGTTGAACATTTCTTTAGACAGAACAGTTTTGAAACACTCTTTTTGTGGAGTCTGCAAGTGGATATTTGGCTAGATTTGAGGATTTCGTTGGAAACGGGATTACGTATAAAAAGCAGACAGCAGCATTCTCAGAAACTTCTTTGTGATGTTTGCATTCAAGTCACAGAATTGAACATTCCCTTTCACAGAGCAGGTGTAAAACACTCTTTTTGTAGTGTGTGTAAGTGGACCTTTGGAGCGCTCTCCGTCCTAAGGTGAAAAAGGACATATCTTCCCATAAAAACTAGACACAAGCATTCTCAGAAACTTACTCGTGATATGTGACCTGAACTAATGGAGTAGAAGCTTTCTTTTGATAGAGCAGTTTTGAAACACTCTTTTTGTAGGATCTGCAAGTGGATATTTGGATAGCTTTGAGGATTTCGTTGGAAACGGGAATATCTTCATATAAAATCTAGACAGAAGCATTCTCAGAAACTTCCTTGTGATGGTTGCATTCAAGTCACGGAGTTGAACATTCGCTTTCATAGAGCAGGATGGAAACACTCTTTTTCCATTCCCTGGAAGTGGACATTTGG
>NC_000020.11:26596363-26608045 GCF_000001405.40 Homo sapiens
TGGAAACGGGAATACGTATAAGAAGCCGACAGCAGCATTCTCAGAACTTCTTTGTGATGTTGCATTCAAGTCACAGAATTGGAACATTCCCTTTCACAGAGCGGGTTTGAAACACTCTATTTGCAGTGTCTGTAAGTGGATCTTTGGAGCGCTTTCCGGCCTAAGGTGAAAAAGGACATATCTTCCCATAAAAACCAGACAGAAGCATTCTCAGAAACTTACTCGTGATGTGTGTCCTCAACTAATGGAGTAGAACCTTTCTTTTGATTGAGCAATTTTGAAACACTCTTTTTGTAGAATCTGCAAGTGGATATTTGGATAGCTTTGAGGATTTCATTGGAAACGGGAATATATTCATATGAAATCTAGACAGAAGAATTCTCAGAAACTTCCTTGTGATGGTTGCATTCAAATCATGGAGTTGAACATTCGCTTTCATAGAGCAGGTTGGAAACACTCTTTTTCCATTCCCTGGAAGTGGACATTTGGAGTGCTTCGAGGCCAATGGTGAAAAAGGAAATATCTTCCCATAAAAACTAGACAGAAGCATTCTCAGAAACTTATTTGTGATGTATGTCCTCAACTAACAGATTAGAACATTTCTTTTGAGAGAGCAGTTTTGAAACACTCTTTTTGTGGAATCTGCAAGTGGATATTTGGCTGGCTTTGATGATTTCGTTGGACACGGAAATACATATAAAAAGCAGACAGCAGCGTTCTGAGAAACTTCTTGGTGATGTTTGCATTCAAGTCACAGAATGGAACGTTCCCTTTCATAGAACTGATTTGAAACTCTCCTTTTGTCGTATCTGGAAGTGTCCATTTGGAGCGCATTCAGGCTTGTGTTGAAAAAGGAAATATCTTCCCATAAAAACTAGACAGAAGCATTCTCAGCAACTTGTTTGTGATGTGTGCCCTCTACTAACAGAGTTGAACCTTTCTTTTCATAGAGCAGCTTTGAAACACTCTTTTTGTAGAATCTGCAGGAGGATATTTGTATAGATTTGAGGATTTCGTTGGAAACGGGATTGTCTTCAGATAAAATCCAGACAGAAGCACTCTCAGAAACTTTTTTGGGATGTTTGCATTCACGTCACAGAGGAGAGCATGCCTTTTCGTAGAGAAGTTTTCAAACACTGTTTTTGTAGTATCTGGAAGTGGACATTTGGAGCGGTTTCAGGACTATGTTGAAAAAGCAAATATCTTCCCGTAACAACTGGACAGAAGCATTCTCAGAAGCTAGCCTCTGATGTGTGTCCTCAACTATCAGAGTTGAACATTTCTTTAGACAGAACAGTTTTGAAACTCTTTTTGTGGAGTCTGCAAGTGGATATTTGGCTAGATTTGAAGATTTCGTTGGAAACGTGAGTACGTATAAAAAGCAGAATGCAGCATTCTCAGAAACTTCTTTGTGATGTTTGCATTCAAGTCACAGAAATGAACATTCCCTTTCACAGAGCAGGTTTGAAACACTCTTTTTGTAGTGTCTGTAAGTGGACCTTTGGAGCACTTTCAGGCCTAAGGTGAAAAAGGACATATCTTCCCATAAGAACTAGAAAGAAGCATTCTCAAAAACTTACTCGTGATGTGTGCCCTCAACTAACGGAATAGAACCTTTCTTTTGATAGAGGAGTTTTGAAACACTCTTTTTGTAGAATCTGCAAGTGGATATTTGCATAGCTTTGAGGATTTCGTTGGAAACGGGAATATCTTCATATAAAATCTAGACAGAAGCATTCTCAGAAACTTCCTTGTGATGGTTGCATTCAAGTCACTGAGTTGAACATTCGCTTTCATAGAGGAGGTTGGAAACACTCTTTTTCCTTTCCCTGGAAGTGGACATTTGGAGCGCTTGGAGGCCTATGGTGAAAAAGGGAGTGTCTTCCCATCAAAACTAGATAGAAGCATTCTCAGAAACTTATTTGTGATGTGTGTCCTCAACTGACAGAGTTGAACATTTCTTTTGAGAGGGCAGTTTTGAAACACTCTTTTTGTGGAATCTGCAAGTGGATATTTGGCTGGCTTTGACGATTTCCTTGGAAACGGGAATACATATAAAAAGCAGACAGCAGCGTTATGAGAAACTACTTGTTGATGTTTGCATTCAAGTCACAGAATGGAACGTTCCCTTTCATAGAACAGGTTTGAAACACTCCTTTTGTCGTATCTGGAAGTGTCCATTTGGATCGCATTCAGGCTTGTGTTGAAAAAGGAAATATCTTCCCATAAAAACTAGACAGAAGCATTCTCAGCAACTTGTTTGTGATGTGTGACCTCTACTAACAGAGTTGAACCTTTCTTTTCATACAGCAGTTTTGAAACACTCTTTTTGTAGAACCTGCAGGAGGATATTTGCATAGCTTTGAGGATTTCGTTGGAAACGGGATTGTCTTCAGATAAAATCCAGACAGAAGCATTCTCAGAAACTTCCTTGGGATGTTTGCATACAAGTCACAGAGGAGAACATGCCCTTTCGTAGAGAAGGTTTGAAACACTCTCTTTGCAGTATCTGGAAGTGGACATTTGGAGCAGTTTCAGGCCTATGCTGAAAAAGGAAATATCTTCCCTTAACAACTGGACAGAAGCATTCTCAGAAGCTAGTCTCTGATGTGTGTGCTCAACTAACAGAGTTGAACATTTCTTTTGACAGAACAGTTTTGAAACACTCTTTTTGTGGAGTCTGCAAGTGGATATTTGGCTAAATTTTTAGGATTTCGTTGGAAACGGGATTACATATAAAAACCCGTCAGCAGCATTCTCAGAAACTTCTTTGTGATGTTTGCATTCAAGTCACAGAATTGAACATTCCCTTTCACAGAGCAGGTTTGAAACACTCTATTTGTAGTGTCTGTAAGTGGACCTTTGGAGCGCTTTCCGGCCTAAGGTGAAAAAGGACATATCTTCCCATAAAAACCAGACAGAAGCATTCTCAGAAACTTACTCGTGATGTGTGTCCTCAACTAACGGAATAGAACCTTTCTTTTAATAGAGCAGTTTTGAAACAATCTTTTTGTAGAATCTGCATGTGGATATTTGGATAGCTTTGAGGATTTCATTGGAAACGGGAATATCTTCATATAAAATCTAGACAGAAGCATTCTCAGAAACTTCCTTGTGATGGTTGCATTAAAGTCACAGAGTTGAACATTCGGTTTCATAGAGCAGGTTGGAAACACTCTTTTTCCATTCCCTGGAAGTGGACATTTGGAGCGCTTCGAGGCCTATGGTGAAAAAGGAATTATCTTCCCATAAAAACTAGACAGAAGCATTCTCAGAAACTTATTTGTGATGTGTGTCCTCAACTAACAGAGTTGAACATTTCTTTTGAGAGAGCAGTTTTGAAACACTCTTTTTGTGGAACCTGCAAGTGGATATTTGGCTGGCTTTGACGATTTCGTTGGAAACGGGAATACATATAAAAAGCAGACAGCAGCGTTCTGAGAAACTTCTTGGTGATGTTTGCATTCAAGTCACAGAATGGAACGTTCCCTTTCATAGAACAGGTTTGAAACACACCTTTTGTCGTATCTGACAGTGTCCATTTGGAGCGCATTCAGGCTTCTGTTTAAAAAGGAAATATCTTCCCATAAAAACTTGACAGAATCATATGGGAAGATAAGAGCTTTTTCGCCTTAGGCCGGAAAGCGCTCCAAAGGTCCGCTTACAGACACTACAAAAAGAGTGTTTCAAAACTGCACTCTGAAAGGGAATGTTCAATTCAGAGACTTGAGTGCAAACATCAAAAAGAAGTTTCTGCGAATTGCTGCTGTCGGCTTTTTATTCGTAATCCCTTTTCCAACGAAATCCTCAAAGCTATCCAAATATCAACTTGCAGATCCTACAAAAAGAGTGTTTCAAAACTGCTCTATCAAAAGAAAGGTTCTACTCCGTTAGTTGAGGACACACATCACGAGTAAGTTTCTGAGAATGCTTATGTCTAGGTTTTATGGGAAGATATTTCCTTTTTCACCATAGGCCTCGAAGCGCTCCAAAAGTCCAGTTACAGACACTACAAAAAGAGTGTTTCAAACCTGCTCTGTGAAAGGGAATGTTCAATTCTGAGACTTGAATGCAAACATCACAACGAAGTTTCTGAGAATGCTGCTGTCTGCTTTTTATACGTAATCCCGTTTCCAACGAAATCCTCAAATCTAGCCAAATATCCACTTGCAGACTCCACAAAAAGAGAGTTTCAAAACAGTTCTGTCTAAAGAAATGTTCAACTCTCTTAGTTGAGGACACACATCAGAGACTAGCTCCTGAGAATTCTTCTGTCCAGTTGTTACGGGAAGATATTTCCTTTTTCAACATAATCTTGAAACCGCTCCAAATGTCCACTTCCAGATACTACAAAAAGAGTGTTTCAAACCTTCTCTACGAAAGGGCATGTTCTCCTCTGTGACTTGTATGCAAATCTCCCAAAGAAGTTGCTGAGAATGCTTCTGTCTGGATTTTATGTGAAGACAATCCCGTTTCCAAAGAAATCCTCAAATCTATGCAAATATTCAACTGCAGACTCTACAAACAGAGTGTTTCAAAACTGCTCTATGAAAAGAAAGGTTCACCTCTCTTAGTAGAGGGCACACAGCACAAACAAGTTGCTGAGAATGCTTCTGTCTAGTTTTTATGGGAAGATATTTCCTTTTTCAACACAAGCCTGAATGCGCTCCAAAGGGACACTTCCAGATACGACAAAAGGAGTGTTTCAAACCTGTTCTATGAAAGGGAACGTTCCATTCCGTGACTTGAATGCAAACATCACCAAGAAGTTTCTCAGAACGCTGCTGTCTGCTTTTTATATGTATTCCCGTTTCCAACGAAATCGTCAAAGCCAGCAAAATATCCACTTGCAGATTCCACAAAAAGAGAGTTTCAAAACTGCTCTCTCAAAAGAAATATTCAACTGTGTCAGTTGAGGACACACATCCCAAAGAAGTTTCTGAGAATGCTTCTGTCTAGTTTTTATGGGAAGATATTTCCTTTTTCACCATAGGCCTCAAACCGCTCCACATGTCCACTTCCAGGGAATGGAAAAAGAGTGTTTCCAACCTGCTCTATGAAAGCGAATGTTCAACTCCGTGACTTGAATGCAAACATCACAAGGAAGTTTCTGAGAATGCTTCTGTCTAGATTTTATATGAAGATATTCCCGTTTCCAACGAAATCCTCAAATCTATCCAAATATCCGCTTTGAGATTCTACAAAAAGAGTGTTTCAAAACTGCTCTATCAAAAGAAAGGTTCTACTCCCTTAGTTGAGGACACACATCGTGAGTAAGTTTCTGACAATGCTTCTGTCTGGTTTTTATGGGAAGATATGTCCTTTTTCACCTTAGGCCGGAAAGCGCTCCAAAAGTCCAGTTACAGACACTACAAAAAGAGTGTTTCAAACCTGCTCTGTGAAAGGGAATGTTCAATTCTGTGACTTGAATGCAAACATCACAAAGAAGTTGCTGAGAATGCTGCTGTCTGCTTTTTATACCTTATCCCGTTTCCAACGAAATCCTCAAATCTAGCCAAATATCCACTTGCAGACTCCACAAAAACAGTGTTTCAAAACTGTACTGTCAAAAGAAATGTTCTACTCTGTTAGTTGAGGACACACGTCAGAGACTAGCTTCTGAGAATGCTTCTGTCCAGTTGTTAAGGGAAGATATTTCCTTTTCCAACATAAGCCTGAAACCGCTTCAAATGTCCACTTCCAGATACTGCAAAGAGAGTGTTTCAAACCTTCTCTACGAAAGGGCATGTTCTCCTCTGTGACGTCAATGCAAACATCCCAAAGAAGTTTCTGAGAATGCTTCTGTCTGGATTTTATCTGAAGACAATCCCGTTTCCAAAGAAATCCTCAAAGATATGCAAATATGCTCCTGCAGATTCTACAAAAAGAGTGTTTCAAAACTGCTCTATGAAAAGAAAGGTTCGACTCTGTTAGTAGAGGGCACACATCCCAAACAAGTTGCCGAGAATGATTCTGTCTGGTTTTTATGGGAAGATATTTCCTTTTCCAACACAAGCCTGAATGTGCTCCAAATGGACACTTCCAGATACGACAAAAGGAGTGTTTCAAAGCTGTTCTATGAAAGGCAACGTTCCATTGTGTGACTTGAATGCAAACATCACCAAGTAGTTTCTCAGAACGCTGCTGTCTGCTTTTTATATGTATTCCCGTGTCCAACGAAATCGTCAAAGCCAGCCAAATATCCACTTGCAGGTTCCACAAAAAGAGTGTTTCAAAACTGCTCTCTCAAAAGACATGTTCAACTCTGTCAGTTGAGGACACACATCACAAAGAAGTTTCTGAGAATGCTTCTGTCTAGTTTTTATGGGAAGATATTTCCTTTTTCACCATAGGCCTCAAAGCGCTCCAAATGTCCACTTCCAGGGAATGGAAAAAGAGTGTTTCCAACCTGCTCTATGAAAGCCAATGTTCAACTCCGTGAGTTGAATGCAACCATCACAAGGAAGTTTCTGAGAATGCTTCTGTCTAGATTTTATATGAAGATATTCCCGTTTCCAACGAAATCCTCAAAGCTATCCAAATATCCACTTGGAGATTCTACAAAAAGAGTGTTTCAAAACTGCTCTATCAAAAGAAAGGTTCTACTCCGTCAGTTGAGGACACACATCTCGAGTAAATTTCTGAGAATGCTTCTGTCTAGTTTTCATGGGAAGATATGTCCTTTTTCACCTTAGGCCGGAAAGCGCTCCAAAAGTCCAGTTACAGACACTACAAAAAGAGTGTTTCAAACCTGCTCTGTGAAAGGGAATGTTCAATTCTGTGACTTGAATGCAAACATCACAAAGAAATTGCTGAGAATGCTGCTGTCTGCTTTTTATACCTTATCCCGTTTCCAACGAAATCCTCAAATCCAGCCAAATATCCACTTGCAGACTCCACAAAAAGAGTGTTTCAAAACTATACTCTCCAAAGAAATGTTCAACTCTGTTAGTTGAGGACACACATCAGAGACTAGCTTCTGAGAATGCTTCTGTCCAGTTGTTACGGGAAGATATTTCCTTTTTCAACATAGGCCTGAAACCGCTTCAAATGTCCACTTCCAGATACTGCAAAGAGAGTGTTTCAAACCTTCTGTACGAAAGGGCATGTTCTCCTCAGTGACGTCAATGCAAACATCCCAAAGAAGTTTCTGAGAATGCTTCTGTCTGGATTTTATCTGAAGACAATCCCGTTTCCAACGAAATCCTCAAAGATATGCAAATATGCTCCTGCAGATTCTACAAAAAGAGTGTTTCAAAACTGCTCTATGAATAGAAAGGTTCGACTCTGTTAGTAGAGGGCACACATCACAAACAAGTTGCCGAGAAGGCTTCTGTCTGGTTTTTATGGGAAGATATTTCCTTTTCCAACACAAGCCTGAATGCGCTCCAAATGGACACTTCCAGATACGACAAAAGGAGTGTTTCAAACCTGTTCTGTGAAAGGGAACGTTCCATTCTGTGACTTGAATGCAAACATCACCAAGTAGTTTCTCAGAACGCTGCTGTCTGCTTTTTATATGTATTCCCGTTTCCAACGAAATCGTCAAAGCCAGCCAAATATCCACTTGCAGGTTCCACAGAAAGAGTGTTTCAGAACTGCTCTCTCAAAAGACATGTTCAACTCTGTCAGTTGAGGACACACATCACAAAGAAGTTTCTGAGAATGCTTCTGTCTAGTTTTTATGGGAAGATATTTCCTTTTTCACCATAGGCCTCAAAGCGCTCCAAATGTCCACTTCCAGGGAATGGAAAAAGAGTGTTTCCAACCTGCTCTATGAAAGCCAATGTTCAACTCCGTGACTTGAATGCAACCATCTCAAGGAAGTTTCTGAGAATGCTTCTGTCTAGGTTTTATATGAAGATATTCCCGTTTCCAACGAAATCCTCAAAGCTATCCAAATATCCACTTGGAGATTCTACAAAAAGAGTGTTTCAAAACTGCTCTATCAAAAGAAAGGTTCTACTCCGTCAGTTGAGGACACACATCACGAGTAAGTTTCTGACAATGCTTCTGTCTAGTTTTTATGGGAAGATATGTCCTTTTTCACCTTAGGCCGGAGAGCGCTCCAAAAGTCCAGTTACAGACACTACAAAAAGAGTGTTTCAAACCTGCTCTGTGAAAGGGAATGTTCAATTCTGTGACTTGAATGCAAACATCACAAAGAAATTGCTGAGAATGCTGCTGTCTGCTTTTTATACCTTATCCCGTTTCCAACGAAATCCTCAAATCCAGCCAAATATCCACTTGCAGACTCCACAAAAAGAGTGTTTCAAAACTATACTCTCCAAAGAAATGTTCAACTCTGTTAGTTGAGGACACACATCAGAGACTAGCTTCTGAGAATGCTTCTGTCCAGTTGTTACGGGAAGATATTTCCTTTTTCAACATAGGCCTGAAACCGCTTCAAATGTCCACTTCCAGATACTGCAAAGAGAGTGTTTCAAACCTTCTGTACGAAAGGGCATGTTCTCCTCAGTCACGTCAATGCAAACATCCCAAAGAAGTTTCTGAGAATGCTTCTGTCTGGATTTTATCTGAAGACAATCCCGTTTCCAACGAAATCCTCAAAGATATGCAAATATGCTCCTGCAGATTCTACAAAAAGAGTGTTTCAAAACTGCTCTATGAATAGAAAGGTTCGACTCTGTTAGTAGAGGGCACACATCACAAACAAGTTGCCGAGAAGGCTTCTGTCTGGTTTTTATGGGAAGATATTTCCTTTTCCAACACAAGCCTGAATGCGCTCCAAATGGACACTTCCAGATACGACAAAAGGAGTGTTTCAAACCTGTTCTGTGAAAGGGAACGTTCCATTCTGTGACTTGAATGCAAACATCACCAAGTAGTTTCTCAGAACGCTGCTGTCTGCTTTTTATATGTATTCCCGTTTCCAACGAAATCGTCAAAGCCAGCCAAATATCCACTTGCAGGTTCCACAGAAAGAGTGTTCAGAACTGCTCTCTCAAAAGACATGTTCAACTCTGTCAGTTGAGGACACACATCACAAAGAAGTTTCTGAGAATGCTTCTGTCTAGTTTTTATGGGAAGATATTTCCTTTTTCACCATAGGCCTCAAAGCGCTCCAAATGTCCACTTCCAGGGAATGGAAAAAGAGTGTTTCCAACCTGCTCTATGAAAGCCAATGTTCAACTCCGTGACTTGAATGCAACCATCACAAGGAAGTTTCTGAGAATGCTTCTGTCTAGGTTTTATATGAAGATATTCCCGTTTCCAACGAAATCCTCAAAGCTATCCAAATATCCACTTGGAGATTCTACAAAAAGAGTGTTTCAAAACTGCTCTATCAAAAGAAAGGTTCTACTCCGTCAGTTGAGGACACACATCACGAGTAAGTTTCTGACAATGCTTCTGTCTAGTTTTTATGGGAAGATATGTCCTTTTTCACCTTAGGCCGGAAAGCGCTCCAAAAGTCCAGTTACAGACACTACAAAAAGAGTGTTTCAAACCTGCTCTGTGAAAGGGAATGTTCAATTCTGTGACTTGAATGCAAACATCACAAAGAAATTGCTGAGAATGCTGCTGTCTGCTTTTTATACCTTATCCCGTTTCCAACGAATCCTCAAATCCAGCCAAATATCCACTTGCAGACTCCACAAAAAGAGTGTTTCAAAACTATACTCTCCAAAGAAATGTTCAACTCTGTTAGTTGAGGACACACATCAGAGACTAGCTTCTGAGAATGCTTCTGTCCAGTTGTTACGGGAAGATATTTCCTTTTTCAACATAGGCCTGAAACCGCTTCAAATGTCCACTTCCAGATACTGCAAAGAGAGTGTTTCAAACCTTCTCTACGAAAGGGCATGTTCTCCTCAGTGACGTCAATGCAAACATCCCAAAGAAGTTTCTGAGAATGCTTCTGTCTGGATTTTATCTGAAGACAATCCCGTTTCCAACGAAATCCTCAAAGCTATGCAAATATGCTCCTGCAGATTCTACAAAAAGAGTGTTTCAAAACTGCTCTATGAATAGAAAGGTTCGACTCTGTTAGTAGAGGGCACACATCACAAACAAGTTGCCGAGAAGGCTTCTGTCTGGTTTTTATGGGAAGATATTTCCTTTTCCAACACAAGCCTGAATGCGCTCCAAATGGACACTTCCAGATACGACAAAAGGAGTGTTTCAAACCTGTTCTGTGAAAGGGAACGTTCCATTCTGTGACTT
Source organism: Homo sapiens (assembly GCF_000001405.40). Taxonomy (NCBI): domain Eukaryota; kingdom Metazoa; phylum Chordata; class Mammalia; order Primates; family Hominidae; genus Homo; species Homo sapiens. Next base: position 26,606,549 of record NC_000020.11, read on the forward strand.
GAATGCAAACATCACCAAGTAGTTTCTCAGAACGCTGCTGTCTGCTTTTTATATGTATTCCCGTTTCCAACGAAATCGTCAAAGCCAGCCAAATATCCACTTGCAGGTTCCACAGAAAGAGTGTTTCAGAACTGCTCTCTCAAAAGACATGTTCAACTCTGTCAGTTGAGGACACACATCACAAAGAAGTTTCTGAGAATGCTTCTGTCTAGTTTTTATGGGAAGATATTTCCTTTTTCACCATAGGCCTCAATGCGCTCCAAATGTCCACTTCCAGGGAATGGAAAAAGAGTGTTTCCAACCTGCTCTATGAAAGCCAATGTTCAACTCCGTGACTTGAATGCAACCATCACAAGGAAGTTTCTGAGAATGCTTCTGTCTAGGTTTTATATGAAGATATTCCCGTTTCCAACGAAATCCTCAAAGCTATCCAAATATCCACTTGGAGATTCTACAAAAAGAGTGTTTCAAAACTGCTCTATCAAAAGAAAGGTTCTACTCCGTCAGTTGAGGACACACATCACGAGTAAGTTTCTGACAATGCTTCTGTCTAGTTTTTATGGGAAGATATGTCCTTTTTCACCTTAGGCCGGAAAGCGCTCCAAAAGTCCAGTTACAGACACTACAAAAAGAGTGTTTCAAACCTGCTCTGTGAAAGGGAATGTTCAATTCTGTGACTTGAATGCAAACATCACAAAGAAATTGCTGAGAATGCTGCTGTCTGCTTTTTATACCTTATCCCGTTTCCAACGAAATCCTCAAATCCAGCCAAATATCCACTTGCAGACTCCACAAAAAGAGTGTTTCAAAACTATACTCTCCAAAGAAATGTTCAACTCTGTTAGTTGAGGACACACATCAGAGACTAGCTTCTGAGAATGCTTCTGTCCAGTTGTTACGGGAAGATATTTCCTTTTTCAACATAGGCCTGAAACCGCTTCAAATGTCCACTTCCAGATACTGCAAAGAGAGTGTTTCAAACCTTCTCTACGAAAGGGCATGTTCTCCTCAGTGACGTCAATGCAAACATCCCAAAGAAGTTTCTGAGAATGCTTCTGTCTGGATTTTATCTGAAGACAATCCCGTTTCCAACGAAATCCTCAAAGATATGCAAATATGCTCCTGCAGATTCTACAAAAAGAGTGTTTCAAAACTGCTCTATGAATAGAAAGGTTCGACTCTGTTAGTAGAGGGCACACATCACAAACAAGTTGCCGAGAAGGCTTCTGTCTGGTTTTTATGGGAAGATATTTCCTTTTCCAACACAAGCCTGAATGCGCTCCAAATGGACACTTCCAGATACGACAAAAGGAGTGTTTCAAACCTGTTCTGTGAAAGGGAACGTTCCATTCTGTGACTTGAATGCAAACATCACCAAGTAGTTTCTCAGAACGCTGCTGTCTGCTTTTTATATGTATTCCCGTTTCCAACGAAATCGTCAAAGCCAGCCAAATATCCACTTGCAGGTTCCACAGAAAGAGTGTTCAGAACTGCTCT
>NC_000020.11:26608145-26634795 GCF_000001405.40 Homo sapiens
AGCATTGTCAGAAACTTCTTTGGAATGTGTGTACTCAACTAACAGATTTGAACCTTTCTTTTGATAGAGCAGTTTTGAAACGCTCTTTTTGTAGAATCTGCAAGAGGATATTTGGATAGCTTTGAGGATTTCGTTGTAAAGGGGAATCTCTTCATATATAAGCTATACAGAAGCATTCTCAGAAACTTCGTTGGGATGTTTCGATTGAAGTCCCAGTGTTGAACATTCCCTTTTATAGAGCAGGTTGGAAACACTCTTTCTGCATTCCCTGGAAGTGGACATTTGGAGCGCTTTCAGGACGACGGTGAAAATGGAAATATCTTCCAAGAAAATCTAGACAGAAGCAACGTCAGAAACTTTTCTGTGATGGATCTACTCAGCTAACAGAGTTGAACCTTTCTTTTGAGAGAGCACTTTTGCAACACTCTTTTTGTGGAATATGCAAGTGGATATTAGGGCAGCTTTGAGGATTTCGTTGGAAACGGGAATACATGTAAAAAGCAGACAGCAGCATTCTCAGCAAACTTCTTTGTGATGTTTGCATTGAAGTCACAGAGTTGAACATTCCCTTTGAGAGAGCAGGTTGGAAACACGCCTTTTGTCATATCTGGAAGTGTCCATTCGGAGCGCATTCAGGCTTGTGTTGAAAAAGGAAATATCCTCCCATAAAAACTAGACAGAAGCATTCTCAGAAACTTATCTGTGATGTATGTACTCAACTAACAGAACTAAACCATCGTTTTGAAGGAGCAGTTTTGAAACACTCTTTTTGCGGAATCTGCAAGTGGATATTTGGCTAGCTGGGAGGATTTCGTTGGAAACGGGATTACATACAAAAAGCAGACAGCAGCATTCCCAGAATCTTGTTTGTGATGTTTGCATTCAAGTCACAGAGTTGAACATTCCCTTTCAGAGAGCAGGTTTGAAACACTCTTTTTATAGTATCTGGATGTGGACATTTGGAGCGCTTTCAGGCCTATGGTGAAAAAGGAAATATCTTCTCCTGAAAACTAGACAGAAGCATTCTCAGAATCTTATTTGTGATGTGCGCCCTCAACTAGCAGTGTTGAAACTTTCTTTTGATAGAGCAGTTTTGAAACACTCTTTTTGTAAAATCTGCAAGAGGATATTTGGATAGCTTTGAGGATTTCGTTGGAAACGGGATTGTCTTCATATAAAATCTAGACAGAAGCATTCTCAAAGGCTTCATTGGGATGTTTCAACTGAAGTCACAGTGTTGAACAGTCCCTTTCATAGAGCAGGTTTGAAACACTCTTTTGGTAGTATCTGGAAGTGGACATTTGGAGCGCTCTCAGGACTGCGGTGAAAAAGGAATTATCTTCCAATAAAAGCTAGATAGAAGCAATGTCAGAACTTTTTTCATGATGTATCTACTCAGCTAACAGAGTTGAACCTTTCTTTTGAGAGAGCAGTTTTGAAACACTCTTTTTGTGGAATATGCAAGTGGGTATTAGGCCAGCTTGGAGGATTTCGTTGGAAACGGGAATACGTATAAAAAGCAGACAGCAGCATTGTCAGAAACTACTTTGTGATGTTTGCATTCAAGTCACAGAATTGAACACTCCCTTTCACAGAGCAGGTTTGAAACACTCTTTTTGTAGTGTCTATAAGTGAACATTTGGCGTGCTTTCAGGCCTAACGTGAAAAAGGAAATATCTTCCCATAAAAACTAGACAGAAGCATTCTCAGAAACTTGTTTGTGATGTGTGCCCTCTACTGACAGAGTTGAACCTTTCTTTGCAAAGAACAGCTTTGAAACACTCTTTTTGTAGAATCTGCAAGAGGATATTTGGATAGCTTTGAGGATTTCGTTGGAAACGGGTATGTCTTCAGATAAACTCTAGACAGAAGCATTCTCAGAAACTTCTTCGGGATGTTGCATTCAAGTCACAGAGTAGAACATTCCCATTCATAGAGGAGATTTGAAACACTCTTTTTGAAGTATCTGGAAGTGGACATTTGGAGCGCTTTCAGGCCTATGTTGAAAAAGGAAATATCTTCCCATAAAAACTAGACGGAAGCATTCTCAGAAACTTATTTGTGATGTGTTTGCTCAACTAACAGGATTGAACCATCGTTTTGAAGGAGCAGTTTTGAAACACTGTTTTCGTGGAATCTGCAAGTGGATATTTGGCTAGCTTTGAGGATTTCGTTGGAAACGGGATTACATATACAAAGGAGACAGCAGCATTCTCAGAAACTTCTTTGTGATGTCTGCATTCAATTCACAGAGTTGAGCATTCCCTTTCATAGAGCAGGTTGGAAACACTCTTTTTGTAGTATCTGGATGAGGACATTTGGAGCGCTTTCAGGCGTATGGTGAAAAAGGAAATATCTTCCCGTAAAAACTAGACATAAGCATTCTCAGAAATTTATTTGTGATGTGTGCCCTCAACTAATAGAGTTGAACCTTTCTTTTGATAGAGCAGTTTTGAAACACTCTTTTTGTAAAATCTGCAAGAGGATATTTGGAAAGCTTTGAGGATTTCGTTGCAAATGGGAATGGCTTCATATAAACTCTAGACAGAAGCATTCTCAGAAACTTCTTTCGGATGTTGCGATTGAAGTCCCAGTGTTGAACATTCCCTTTTATAGCGCAGGTTGGAAACACTCTTTTTGTAGTATCTGGAAGTGGACATTTGGAGCGCTTTCAGGACGATGGTGAAAATGGGAATATCTTCCAAAAAAATCTAGATAGAAGCAATGTCAGAAACTTTTCTGTGATGGATCTACTCAGCTAACAGAGTTGAACCTTTCTTTTGAGAGAGCAGTTTTGCAACACTCTTTTTGTGGAATATGCAAGTGGATATTAGGGCAGCTTTGAGGATTTCGTTGGAAACGGGAATACATGTAAAAAGCAGACAGCAGCATTCTCAGAAACTTCTTTGTGATGTTTGCATTGAAGTCACAGAGTTGAACATTCCCTTTGAGAGAGCAGGTTTGAAACACGCCTTTTGTCATATCTGGAAGTGTCCATTCGGAGCGCATTCAGGCTTGTGTTGAAAAAGGAAAATATCCTCCCATAAAAACTAGACAGAAGCATTCTCAGAAACTTATTTGTGATGTATGTACTCAACTAACAGAACTAAACCATCGTTTTGAAGGAGCAGTTTTGAAACACTCTTTTTGCGGAATCTGCAAGTGGATATTTGGCTAGCTTGGAGGATTTCGTTAGAAACGGGATTACATACAAAAAGCAGACAGCAGCATTCTCAGAAACTTCTTTGTGATGTTAGCATTCAAGTCACAGAGTTGAACATTCCCTTTCATAGAGCAGGTTTGAAACACTCTTTTTGTAGTATCTGGATGTGGACATTTTGATTGCTTTCAGGCCTATGGTGAAAAAGGATATATCTTCCCATGAAAACTAGACTGAAGCATTCTCAGAAACTTATTTGTGATGTGTGCCCTCAACTGACAGTGTTGAACCTTTGTTTTGATAGAGCAGTTCTGAAAACACTTTTTGTAAAATCTGCAAGAGGATATTTGGATAGCTTTGAGGATTTCGTTGGAAACGGGAATGTCTTCATGTAAACTCTAGACAGAAGCATTCTCAGAAACTGCTTTGGGATGTTTCAATTGAAGTCCCAGTGTTGAACATTCCCTTTCATAGAGCAGGTTTGAAACACTCTTTTTGTACTATCTGGAAGTGGACATTTGGAGCGCTTTCAGGTCTACGGTGAAAAAGGAAATATCTTCCAAGAAAATCTAGATAGAAGCAATGTCAGAACTTTTTTCATGATGTATCTACGCAGCAAACAGAGTTGAACCTTTCTTTTGAGAGAGCAGTTTTGAAACACTCTTTTTGTGGAATATGCAAGTGGGTATTAGGCCAGCTTGGAGGATTTCGTTGGAAACGGGAATACGTATAAAAAGCAGACAGGAGCATTGTGAGAAACTTCTTTGTGATGTTTGCATTCAAGTCACAGAATTGAACACTCCCTTTCACAGAGCAGGTTTGAAACACTCTTTTTGTAGTGTGTGTAAGTGAACATTTGGACTGCTTTCAGGCCTAAGGTGAAAAAGGAAATATCTTCCCATAAAAACTAGACAGAAGCATTCTCCGAAACTCGTTTGTGATATGTGCCCTCTACTGACGGAGTTGAACCTTTCTTTGCAATGAGCAGTTTTGAAACCATCTTTTTGTAGAATCTGCAAGAGGATATTTGGATAGCTTTGAGGATTTCTTGGGAAACGGGAATGTCTTCAGATAAACTCTAGACAGCAGCATTCTCAGAAACTTCTTTGGGATGTTTCAATTGAAGTCACAGTGTTGAACATTCCCTTTCACAGAGCAGGTTTGAAACACTCTTTTTGTAGTGTCTATAATTGAACATTTGGCGTACTTTCAGGCCTAACGTGAAAAAGGAAATATCTTCCCATAAAAACTAGACAGAAGCATTCTCAGAAACTTGTTTGTGATGTGCGCCCTCTACTGACAGAGTTGAACCTTTCTTTGCAAAGAGCAGTTTTGAAACACTCTTTTTGTAGAATCTGCAGGAGGATATTTGGATAGCTTTGAGGATTTCTTGGGAAACGGGAATGTCTTCAGATAAACTCTAGACAGAAGCATTCTCAAAAACTTCTTTGGGATGATTCAATTGAAGTCACAGTGTTGAACATTCCCTTTCACAGAGCAGGTTTGAAACACTCTTTTTGTGGTGTCTATAAGTGAACATTTGGCGTGATTTCAGGGGTAACGTGAAAAAGGAAATATCTTCCCATAAAAACTAGACAGAAGCATTCTCAGAAACTTGTTCATGATGTGTGCCCTCTACTGACAGAGTTGAACCTTTCTTTGCAAAGAGCAGCTTTGAAACACTCTTTTTGTAGAATCTGCAAGAGGATATTTGGATAGCTTGGAGGATTTCGTTGGAAACGGGTATGTCTTCAGATAAACTCTAGACAGAAGCATTCTCAGAAACTTCTTTGGGATGTTGCATTCAAGTCACAGAGTAGAACATTCCCATTCATAGAGCAGATTTGAAACACTCTTTTTGTAGTATCTGGAAGTGGACATTTGGAGCGCTTTCAGGCCTATGTTGAAAAAGGAAATATCTTCCCATAAAAACTAGACGGAAGCATTCTCAGAAACTTATTTGTGATGTGTGTACTCAAATAACAGAATTCAACAATCGTTTTGAAGGAGCAGTTTTGAAACACTCTTTTTGTGGAATCTGCAAGTGCATATTTAGCTAGATTTGACGATTTCGTTGGAAACGGGATTACATATAAAAAGCAGACAGCAGCATTCTCAGAAACTTCTTTGTGATGTCTGCATTCAATTCACAGAGTTGAGCATTCCCTTTCCTAGAGCACGTTGGAAACACTCTTTTTGTAGTATCTGGATGAGGACATTTGGAGCGCTTTCAGGCGTATGGTGAAAAAGGAAATATCTTCCCGTAAAAACTAGACAGAAGCATTCTCAGAAATTTATTTGGGATGTGTGCCCTCAACTAACAGAGTTGAACCTTTCTTTTGATAGAGCAGTTTTGAAACACTCTTTTTGTAAAATCTGCAAGAGGATATTTGGATAGCTTTGAGGATTTCGTTGCAAACGGGAATGGCTTCATATAAACTCTAGACAGAAGCATTCTCAGAAACTTCTTTGGGATGTTTCGATTGAAGTCCCAGTGTTGAACATTCCCTTTTATAGAGCAGGTTGGAAACACTCTTTCTGCATTCCCTGGAAGTGGACATTTGGAGCGCTTTCAGGACGACGGTGAAAATGGAAATATCTTCCAATAAAATCTAGATAGAAGCAATGTCAGAAACTTTTATGTGATGGATCTACTCAGCTAACAGAGTTGAACCTTTCTTTTGAGAGAGCAGTTTTGCAACACTCTTTTTGTGGAATATGCAAGTGGATATTAGGGCAGCTTTGAGGATTTCGTTGGAAACGGGAATACATGTAAAAAGCAGACAGCAGCGTTGTGAGAAACTTCTTTGTGATGTTTGCATTCAAGTCACAGAGTTGAACGTTCCGTATCATAGAGCAGGTTGGAAACATGCCTTTTGTCATATCTGGAAGTGTCAATTTGAAGCGCATTCAACCTTGTGTTGAAAAAGGAAATACCTTCCAATAGAAACCAGACAGAAGCATTCTCAGAAACTTACTTGTGATGTGTTTGCTCAACTAACAGAATTGAACCATCGTTTTGAAGGAGCAGTTTTGAAACACTGTTTTCGTGGAATCTGCAAGTGGATATTTGGCTAGCTTTGAGGATGTCGTTGGAAACGGGAATACATATAAAAAGGAGATAGCAGCATTCTCAGAAACTTCTTTGTGATGTCTGCATTCAAGTCACAGAGTTGAGCATTCCCTTTCATAGAGCAGGTTTGAGACACTCTTTTTGTAGTATCTAGATGAGGACATTTGGAGCGCTTTCAGGCGTATGGTGAAAAAGGAAATATCTTCCCGTAAAAACTAGACAGAAGCATTCTCAGGAACTTATTTGTGATGTGTGCCCTCAACTGACAGTGTTGAACCTTTGTTTTGATAGAGCAGTTCTGAAACACACTTTTTGTAAAATCTGCAAGAGGATATTTGGATAGCTTTGAGGATTTCGTTGGAAACGGGAATGTCTTCATGTAAACTCTAGACAGAAGCATTCTCAGAAACTGCTTTGGGATGTTTCAATTGAAGTCACAGTGTTGAACACTCCCTTTCATAGAGCAGGTTTGAAACACTCTTTTTGTAGTGTCTATAAGTGGACATTTGTAGGGCTTTCAGGTCTACGGTGAAAAAGGAGATATCTTCCAATAAAAACTAGATAGAAGCAATGTGAGAAACTTTATCATGATGTATCTACTCAGCCAACAGATTTGAACCTTTCTTTTGAGAGAGCAGTTTTGAAACACTTTTTTTGGGGAATATGCAAGTGGATGATAGGCCAGCTTGAAGGATTTCGTTGGAAACGGGAATACGTATAAAAAGCAGACAGCAGCATTGTCAGAAACTACTTTGTGATGTTTGCATTCAAGTCACAGAATTGAACACTCCCTTTCACAGAGCAGGTTTGAAACACTCTTTTTGTAGTGTCTGTAAGTGAACATTTGGATTGCTTTCAGGCCTAAGGTGAAAAAGGAAATATCTTCCCATAAAAACTAGACAGAAGCATTCTCAGAAACTTGTTTGTGATGTGTGCCCTCTACTGACAGAGTTGAAACTTTCTTTGCAAAGAGCAGTTTTGAAACACTCTTTTTGTAGAATCTGCAAGAGGATATTTGGATAGCTTTGAGGATTTCTTGGGAAACGGGAATGTCTTCAGATAAACTCTAGACAGAAGCATTCTCAGAAACTTCTTTGGGATGTTTCAATTGAAGTCAGTGTTGAACATTCCCTTTCACAGAGCAGGTTTGAAACACTCTTTTTGTAGTGTCTATCAGTGAACATTTGGCGTGCTTTCAGGCGTAACGTGAAAAAGGAAATATCTTCCCATAAAAACTAGACAGAAGCATTCTCAGAAACTTGTTCTTGATGTGTCCCCTCTACTGACAGAGTTGAACCTTTCTTTGCAAAGAGCAGCTTTGAAACACTCTTTTTGTAGAATCTGCAAGAGGATATTTGGATAGCTTGGAGGATTTCGTTGGAAACGGGTATGTCTTCAGATAAACTCTAGACAGAAGCATTCTCAGAAACTTCTTTGGGATGTTGCATTCAAGTCACAGAGTAGAACATTCCCATTCATAGAGCAGATTTGAAACACTCTTTTTGTAGTATCTGGAAGTGGACATTTGGAGCGCTTTCAGGCCTATGTTGAAAAAGGAAATATCTTCCCATAAAAACTAGACGGAAGCATTCTCAGAAACTTATTTGTGATGTGTTTGCTCAACTAACAGGATTGAACCATCGTTTTGAAGGAGCAGTTTTGAAACACTGTTTTCGTGGAATCTGCAAGTGGATATTTGGCTAGCTTTGAGGATTTCGTTGGAAACGGGATTACATATAAAAAGGAGACAGCAGCATTCTCAGAAACTTCTTTGTGATGTCTGCATTCAATTCACAGAGTTGAGCATTCCCTTTCATAGAGCAGATTGGAAACACTCTTTTTGTAGTATCTGGATGAGGACATTTGGAGCGCTTTCAGGCCTATGGTGAAAAAGGAAATATCTTCCCGTAAAAACTAGACAGAAGCATTCTCAGAAGTTTATTTGTGATGTGTGCCCTCAACTAACAGAGTTGAACCTTTCTTTTGATAGAGCAGTTTTGAAACACTCTTTTTGTAAAATCTGCAAGAGGATATTTGGATAGCTTTGAGGATTTCGTTGCAAACGAGAATGGCTTCACATAAACTCTAGACAGAAGCATTCTCAGAAACTTCGTTGGGATGTTTCGATTGAAGTCCCAGTGTTGAACATTCCCTTTTATAGAGCAGGTTGGAAACACTCTTTCTGCTTTCCCTGGAAGTGGACATTTGGTGCGCTTTCAGGACGACGGTGAAAATGGAAATATCTTCCAAGAAAATCTAGATAGAAGCAACGTCAGAAACTTTTCTGTGATGGATCTACTCAGCTAACAGAGTTGAACCTTTCTTTTGAGAGAGCAGTTTTGCAACACTCTTTTTGTGGAATATGCAAGTGGATATTAGGGCAGCTTTGAGGATTTCGTTGGAAACGGGAATACATGTAAAAAGCAGACAGCAGCATTCTCAGAAACTTCTTTGTGATGTTTGCATTGAAGTCACAGAGTTGAACATTCCCTTTGAGAGAGCAGGTTTGAAACACGCCTTTTGTCATATCTGGAAGTGTCCATTCGGAGCGCATTCAGGCTTGTGTTGAAAAAGGAAATATCCTCCCATAAAAACTAGACAGAAGCATTCTCAGAAACTTATCTGTGATGTATGTACTCAACTAACAGAACTAAACCATCGTTTTGAAGGAGCAGTTTTGAAACACTCTTTTTGCGGAATCTGCAAGTGGATATTTGGCTAGCTGGGAGGATTTCGTTGGAAACGGGATTACATACAAAAAGCAGACAGCAGCATTCTCAGAAACTTCTTTGTGATGTTTGCATTCAAGTCACAGAGTTGAACATTCCCTTTCATAGAACAGGTTTGAAACACTCTTTTTGTAGTATCTGGATGTGGACATTTGGATCGCTTTCAGGCCTATGGTGAAAAAGGAAATATCTTCCCATGAAAACTAGACAGAAGCATTCTCAGAAACTTATTTGTGATGTGTGCCCTCAACTGACAGTGTTGAACCTTTGTTTTGATAGAGCAGTTCTGAAACACACTTTTTGTAAAATCTGCAAGAGGATATTTGGATAGCTTTGAGGATTTCGTTGGAAACGGGAATGTCTTCATGTAAACTCTAGACAGAAGCATTCTCAGAAACTGCTTTGGGATGTTTCAATTGAAGTCCCAGTGTTGAACATTCCCTTTCATAGAGCAGGTTTGAAACACTCTTTTTGTACTATCTGGAAGTGGACATTTGGAGCGCTTTCAGGTCTACGGTGAAAAAGGAGATATCTTCCAATAAAAACTAGATAGAAGCAATGTCAGAACTTTTTTCATGATGTATCTACTCAGCAAACAGAGTTGAACCTTTCTTTTGAGGGAGCAGTTTTGAAACACTCTTTTTGTGGAATATGCAAGTGGGTATTAGGCCAGCTTGGAGGATTTCGTTGGAAACGGGAATACGTATAAAAAGCAGACAGCAGCATTGTCAGAAACTACTTTGTGATGTTTGCATTCAAGTCACAGAATTGAACACTCCCTTTCACAGAGCAGGTTTGAAACACTCTTTTTGTAGTGTCTGTAAGTGAACATTTGGATTGCTTTCAGGCCTAAGGTGAAAAAGGAAATATCTTCCCATAAAAACTAGACAGAAGCATTCTCAGAAACTTGTTTGTGATGTGTGCCCTCTACTGACAGAGTTGAACCTTTCTTTGCAAAGAGCAGTTTTGAAACACTCTTTTTGTAGAATCTGCAAGAGGATATTTGGATAGCTTTGAGGATTTCTTTGGAAACGGGAATGTCTTCAGATAAACTCTAGACAGAAGCATTCTCAGAAACTTCTTTGGGATGTTTCAATTGAAGTCACAGTGTTGAACATTCCCTTTCACAGAGCAGGTTTGAAACACTCTTTTTGTAGTGTCTATAAGTGAACATTTGGCGTGCTTTCAGGCCTAACGTGAAAAAGGAAATATCTTCCCATAAAAACTAGACAGAAGCATTCTCAGAAACTTGTTCGTGATGTGTGCCCTCTACTGACAGAGTTGAACCTTTCTTTGCAAAGAAGCAGCTTTGAAACACACTTTTTGTAGAATCTGCAAGAGGATATTTGGAAAGCTTTGAGGATTTCGTTGGAAACGGGTATGTCTTCAGATAAACTCTAGACAGAAGCATTCTCAGAAACTTCTTTGGGATGTTGCATGCAAGTCACAGAGTAGAACATTCCCATTCATAGAGCAGATTTGAAACACTCTTTTTGTAGTATCTGGAAGTGGACATTTGGAGCGCTTTCAGGCCTATGTTGAAAAAGGAAATATCTTCCCATAAAAACTAGACGGAAGCATTCTCAGAAACTTACTTGTGATGTGTTTGCTCAACTAACAGAATTGAACCATCGTTTTGAAGGAGCAGTTTTGAAACAATGTTTTCGTAGAATCTGCAAGTGGATATTTGGCTAGCTTTGAGGATTTCGTTGGAAACGGGATTACATATAAAAAGGAGACAGCAGCATTCTCAGAAACTTCTTTGTGATGTCTGCATTCAATTCACAGAGTTGAGCATTCCCTTTCATAGAGCAGGTTGGAAACACTCTTTTTGTAGTATCTGGATGAGAACATTTGGAGCGCTTTCAGGCGTATGGTGAAAAAGGAAATATCTTCCCGTAAAAACTAGACAGAAGCATTCTCAGAAATTTATTTGTGATGTGTGCCCTCAACTAACAGAGTTGAACCTTTCCTTTGATAGAGCAGTTTTGAAACACTCTTTTTGTAAATTCTGCAAGAGGATATTTGGATAGCTTTGAGGATTTCGTTGCAAACGGGAATGGCTTCATATAAACTCTAGACAGAAGCATTCTCAGAAACTTCGTTGGGATGTTTCGATTGCAGTCCCAGTGTTGAACATTCCCTTTTATAGAGCAGGTTGGAAACACTCTTTCTGCATTCCCTGGAAGTGGACATTTGGAGCGCTTTCAGGACGACGGTGAAAATGGAAATATCTTCCAAGAAAATCTAGATAGAAGCAATGTCAGAAACTTTTCTGTGATGGATCTACTCAGCTAACAGAGTTGAACCTTTCTTTTGAGAGAGCAGTTTTGCAACACTCTTTTTGTGGAATATGCAAGTGATTATTAGGGCAGCTTTGAGGATTTCGTTGGAAACGGGAATACATGTAAAAAGCAGACAGCAGCATTCTCAGAAACTTCTTTGTGATGTTTGCATTGAAGTCACAGAGTTGAACATTCCCTTTGAGAGAGCAGGTTTGAAACACGCCTTTTGTCATATCTGGAAGTGTCCATTCGGAGCGCATTCAGGCTTGTGTTGAAAAAGGAAATATCCTCCCATAAAAACTAGACAGAAGCATTCTCAGAAACTTATCTGTGATGTATGTACTCAACTAACAGAACTAAACCATCGTTTTGAAGGAGCAGTTTTGAAACACTCTTTTTGCGGAATCTGCAAGTGGATATTTGGCTAGCTGGGAGGATTTCGTTGGAAACGGGATTACATACAAAAAGCAGACAGCAGCATTCTCATGAACTTCTTTATGATGTTTGCATTCAAGTCACAGAGTAGAACATTCCCTTTCATAGAACAGGTTTGAAACACTCTTTTTGTAGTATCTGGATGTGGACATTTTGATCGCTTTAAGGCCTATGGTGAAAAACGAAATATCTTCCCATGAAAACTAGACAGAAGCATTCCCAGAAACTTATTTGTGATGTGTGCCCTCAACTGACAGTGTTGAACCTTTGTTTTGATAGAGCAGTTCTGAAACACACTTTTTGTAAAATCTGCAAGAGGATATTTGGATAGCTTTGAGGATTTCGTTGGAAACGGGAATGTCTTCATGTAAACTCTAGACAGAAGCATTCTCAGCAAACTGCTTTGGGATGTTTCAATTGAAGTCCCAGTGTTGAACATTCCCATTCATAGAGCAGGTTTGAAACACTCTTTTTGTACTATCTGGAAGTGGACATTTGGAGCGCTTTCAGGTCTACGGTGAAAAAGGAGATATCTTCCAATAAAAACTAGATAGAAGCAATGTCAGAACCTTTTTCATGATGTATCTACTCAGCAAACAGAGTTGAACCTTTCTTTTGAGAGAGCAGTTTTGAAACACTCTTTTTGTGGAATATGCAAGTGGGTATTAGGCCAACTTGGAGGATTTCGTTGGAAACGGGAATACGTATAAAAAGCAGACAGCAGCATTCTCAGAAACTTCTTTGGGATGTTTCAATTGAAGTCAGAGTGTTGAACATTCCCTTTCACAGAGCAGGTTTGAAACACTCTTTTTGTACTGTCTCTAAGTGAACATTTGGCGTGATTTCAGGCCTAACATGAAAAAGGAAATATCTGCCTATAAAAACTAGACAGAAGCATTCTCAGAAACTTGTTTGTGATGTGTGCCCTCTACTGACAGAGTTGAACCTTTCTTTGCAAAGAGCAGTTTTGAAACCTTCTTTTGGTAGAATCTACAAGAGGATATTTGGATAGCTTTGAGTATTTCTTGGGAAACGGGAATGTCTTCAGATAAACTCTAGACAGAAGCATTCTCAGAAACTTCTTTGGGATGTTTCAATTGAAGTCACAGTGTTGAACATTCCCTTTCACAGAGCAGGTTTGAAACACTCTTTTTGTAGTGTCTATAAGTGAACATTTGGCGTGCTTTCAGGCCTAACGTGAAAAAGGAAATATCTTCCCATAAAAACTAGACAGAAGCATTCTCAGAAACTTGTTCGTGATGTGTGCCCTCTACTGACAGAGTTGAACCTTTCTTTGCAAAGAGCAGCTTTGAAACACACTTTTTGTAGAATCTGCAAGAGGATATTTGGATAGCTTGGAGGATTTCGTTGGAAACGGGTATGTCTTCAGATAAACTCTAGACAGAAGCATTCTCAGAAATTTCTTTGGGATGTTGCATGCAAGTCACAGAGTAGAACATTCCCATTCATAGAGCAGATTTGAAACACTCTTTTTGTAGTATCTGGAAGTGGACATTTGGAGCGCTTTCAGGCCTATGTTGAAAAAGGAAATATCTTCCCATAAAAACTAGACGGAAGCATTCTCAGAAACTTATTTGTGATGAGTTTGCTCAACTAACAGGATTGAACCATCGTTTTGAAGGAGCAGTTTTGAAACACTGTTTTCGTGGAATCTGCAAGTGGATATTTGGCTAGCTTTGAGGATTTCGTTGGAAACGGGATTACATATAAAAAGGAGACAGCAGCATTCTCAGAAACTGCTTTGGGATGTTGCATTCAAGTCACAGAGTTGAGCATTCCCTTTTATAGAGCAGTTTTGAAACACTCTCTTTGTAGTATCTGGATGAGGACATTTGGAACGCTTTCAGGCGTATGGTGAAAAAGGAAATATCTTCCCGTAAAAACTAGACAAAAACATTCTCAGAATTTTATTTGTGATGTGTGCTATCAACAAACCGAGTTGAACCTTTCTTTTGATTGAGCAGTTTTGAAACACTCTTTTTGTAAAATCTGCAAGAGGATATTTGGATAGCTTTGAGGATTTCGTTGCAAACGGGAATGGCTTCTTATAAACTCTAGACAGAAGCATTCTCAGAAACTTCGTTGGGATGTTTCGATTGAAGTCCCAGTGTTGAACATTCCCTTTTATAGAGCAGGTTGGAAACACTCTTTCTGCATTCCCTGGAAGTGGACATTTGGAGCGCTTTCAGGACGACGGTGAAAATGGAAATATCTTCCAATAAAATCTAGATAGAAGCAACGTCAGAAACTTTTCTGTGATGGATCTACTCAGCTAACAGAGTTGAACCTTTCTTTTGAGAGAGCAGTTTTGCAACACTTTTTGTGGAATATGCAAGTGGATATTAGGGCAGCTTTGAGGATTTCGTTGGAAACGGGAATACATGTAAAAAGCAGACAGCAGCATTCTCAGAAACTTCTTTGTGATGTTTGCATTGAAGTCACAGAGTTGAACATTCCCTTTGAGAGAGCAGGTTTGAAACACGCCTTTTGTCATATCTGGAAGTGTCCATTCGGAGCGCATTCAGGCTTGTGTTGAAAAAGGAAATATCCTCCCATAAAAACTAGACAGAAGCATTCTCAGAAACTTATCTGTGATGTATGTACTCAACTAACAGAACTAAACCATCGTTTTGAAGGAACAGTTTTGAAACACTCTTTTTGCGGAATCTGCAAGTGGATATTTGGCTAGCTGGGAGGATTTCGTTGGAAACGGGATTACATACAAAAAGCAGACAGCAGCATTCTCAGAAACTTCTTTGTGATGTTTGCATTCAAGTCACAGAGTTGAACCTTCCCTTTCATAGAGCAGGTTTGAAACACTCTTTTTGTAGTATCTGGATGTGGACATTTGGATCGCTTTCAGGCCTATGGTGAAAAAGGAAATATCTTCCCATGAAAACTAGACAGAAGCATTCTCAGAAACTTATTTGTGATGTGTGCCCTCAACTGACAGTGTTGAACCTTTGTTTTGATAGAGCAGTTCTGAAACACACTTTTTGTAAAATCTGCAAGAGGATATTTGGATAGCTTTGAGGATTTCGTTGGAAACGGGAATGTCTTCATGTAAACTCTAGACAGAAGCATTCTCAGAAACTGCTTTGGGATGTTTCAATTGAAGTCCCAGTGTTGAACATTCCCTTTCATAGAGCAGGTTTGAAACACTCTTTTTGTACTATCTGGAAGTGGACATTTGGAGCGCTTTCAGGTCTACGGTGAAAAAGGAGATATCTTCCAATAAAAACTAGATAGAAGCAATGTCAGAACTTTTTTCATGATGTATCTACTCAGCAAACAGAGTTGAACCTTTCTTTTGGGAGAGCAGTTTTGAAACACTCTTTTTGTGGAATATGCAAGTGGGTATTAGGCCAGCTTGGAGGATTTCGTTGGAAACGGGAATACGTATAAAAAGCAGACAGCAGCATTGTCAGAAACTACTTTGTGATGTTTGCATTCAAGTCACAGAATTGAACACTCCCTTTCACAGAGCAGGTTTGAAACACTCTTTTTGTAGTGTCTGTAAGTGAACATATGGATTGCTTTCAGGCCTAAGGTGAAAAAGGAAATATCTTCCCATAAAAACTAGACAGAAGCATTCTCAGAAACTTGTTTGTGATGTGTGCCCTCTACTGACAGAGTTGAACCTTTCTTTGCAAAGACCAGTTTTGAAACACTCTTTTTGTAGAATCTGCAAGAGGATATTTGGATAGCTTTGAGGATTTCTTGGGAAACGGGAATGTCTTCAGATAAACTCTAGACAGAAGCATTCTCAGAAACTTCTTTGGGATATTTCAATTGAAGTCACAGTGTTGAACATTCCCTTTCACAGAGCAGGTTTGAAACACTCTTTTTGTAGTGTCTATAAGTGAACATTTGGCGTGCTTTCAGGCCTAACGTGAAAAAGGAAATATCTTCCCATAAAAACTAGACAGAAGCATTCTCAGAAACTTGTTCATGATGTGTGCCCTCTACTGACAGAGTTGAACCTTTCTTTGCAAAGAGCAGCTTTGAAACACTCTTTTTGTAGAATCTGCAAGAGGATATTTGGATAGCTTGGAGGATTTCGTTGGAAACGGGTATGTCTTCAGATAAACTCTAGACAGAAGCATTCTCAGAAACTTCTTTGGGATGTTGCATTCAAGTCACAGAGTAGAACATTCCCATTCATAGAGCAGATTTGAAACACTCTTTTTGTAGTATCTGGAAGTGGACATTTGGAGCGCTTTCAGGCCTATGTTGAAAAAGGAAATATCTTCCCATAAAAACTAGACGGAAGCATTCTCAGAAACTTACTTGTGATGTGTTTGCTCAACTAACAGAATTGAACCATCGTTTTGAAGGAGCAGTTTTGAAACACTGTTTTCGTGGAATCTGCAAGTGGATATTTGGCTAGCTTTGAGGATTTCGTTGGAAACGGGATTACATATAAAAAGGAGACAGCAGCATTCTCAGAAACTTCTTTGTGATGTCTGCATTCAATTCACAGAGTTGAGCATTCCCTTTCATAGAGCAGGTTGGAAACACTCTTTTTGTAGTATCTGGATGAGGACATTTGGAGCGCTTTCAGGCCTATGGTGAAAAAGGAAATATCTTCCCGTAAAAACTAGACAGAAGCATTCTCAGAAATTTATTTGTGATGTGTGCCCTCAACTAACAGAGTTGAACCTTTCTTTTGATAGAGCAGTTGTGAAACACTCTTTTTGTAAAATCTGCAAGAGGATATTTGGATAGCTTTGAGGATTTCATTGCAAACGGGAATGGCTTCATATAAACTCTAGACAGAAGCATTCTCAGAAACTTCGTTGGGATGTTTCGATTGAAGTCCCAGTGTTGAACATTCCCTTTTATAGAGCAGGTTGGAAACACTCTTTCTGCATTCCCTGGAAGTGGACCTTTGGAGCGCTTTCAGGACGACGGTGAAAATGGAAATATCTTCCAATAAAATCTAGATAGAAGCAACGTCAGAAACTTTTATGTGATGGATCTACTCAGCTAACAGAGTTGAACCTTTCTTTTGAGAGAGCAGTTTTGCAACACTCTTTTTGTGGAATATGCAAGTGGATATTAGGGCAGCTTTGAGGATTTCGTTGGAAACGGGAATACATGTAAAAAACAGACAGCAGCATTCTCAGAAACTTCTTTGTGATGTTTGCATTGAAGTCACAGAGTTGAACATTCCCTTTGAGAGAGCAGGTTTGAAACACGCCTTTTGTCATATCTGGAAGTGTCCATTCGGAGCGCATTCAGGCTTGTGTTGAAAAAGGAAATATCCTCCCATAAAAACTAGACAGAAGCATTCTCAGAAACTTATTTGTGATGTATGTAATCAACTAACAGAACTAAACCATCGTTTTGAAGGAGCAGTTTTGAAACACTCTTTTTGCGGAATCTGCAAGTGGATATTTGGCTAGCTGGGAGGATTTCGTTGGAAACGGGATTACATACAAAAAGCAGACAGCAGCATTCTCAGAAACTCCTTTGTGATGTTTGCATTCAAGTCACAGAGTTGAACATTCCCTTTCATAGAGCAGGATTGAAAAACTCTTTTTGTAGAATCTGGATGTGGACATTTGGAGTGCTTTCAGGCCTATGCTGAAAAAGGAAATATCTTCCCCTGAAAGCTAGACAGAAGCATTCTCAGAAACTTATTTGTGATGTGTGCCCTCAACTGACAGTGTTGAACCTTTGTTTTGATAGAGCAGTTCTGAAAAACACTTTTTGTAAAATCTGCAAGAGGATATTTGGATAGCTTTGAGGATTTCGTTGGAAACGGGAATGTCTTCATGTAAACTCTACACAGAAGCATTCTCAGAAACTGCTTTGGGATGTTTCAATTGAAGTCCCAGTGTTGAACATTCCCTTTCATAGAGCAGGTTTGAAACACTCTTTTTGTGCTATCTGGAAGTGGACATTTGGAGCGCTTTCAGGTCTACGGTGAAAAAGGAGATATCTTCCAATAAAAACTAGATAGAAGCAATGTCAGAACTTTTTTCATGATGTATCTACTCAGCAAACAGAGTTGAACCTTTCTTTTGAGAGAGCAGTTTTGAAACACTATTTTTGTGGAATATGCAAGTGGGTATTAGGCCAGCTTGGAGGATTTCGTTGGAAACGGGAATATGTATAAAAAGCAGACAGCGGCATTCTCAGAAACTTCTTTGGGATGTTTCAATTGAAGTCACAGTGTTGAACATTCCGTTTCACAGAGCAGGTTTGAAACACTCCTTTTGTAGTGTCTCTAAGTGAATATTTGGCGTGCTTTCAGGCCTAACGTAAAAAGGAAATATCTTCCCATAAAAACTAGACAGAAGAATTATCAAAAACGTGTTTGTGATGTGTGCCCTCTACTGACAGAGTTGAACCTTTCTTTGCAAAGAGCAGTTTTGAAACCCTCTTTTTGTAGAATCTGCAAGAGGATATTTGCATAGCTTTGAGTATTTCTTGGGAAACGGGAATGTCTTTAGATAAACTCTAGACAGAAGCATTCTCAGAAACTTCTTTGGGATGTTTCAATTGAAGTCACAGTGTTGAACATTCCCTTTCACAGAGCAGGTTTGAAACACTCTTTTTGTAGTGTCTATAAGTGAACATTTGGCGTGCTTTCAGGCGTAACGTGAAAAAGGAAATATCTTCCCATAAAAACTAGACAGAAGCATTCTCAGAAACTTGTTCTTGATGTGTCCCCTCTACTGAGAGAGTTGAACCTTTCTTTGCAAAGAGCAGCTTTGAAACACTCTTTTTGTAGAATCTGCAAGAGGATATTTGGATAGCTTGGAGGATTTCGTTGGAAACGGGTATGTCTTCAGATAAACTCTAGACAGAAGCATTCTCAGAAACTTCTTTGGGATGTTGCATTCAAGTCACAGAGTAGAACATTCCCATTCATAGAGCAGATTTGAAACACTCTTTTTGTAGTATCTGGAAGTGGACATTTGGAGCGCTTTCAGGCCTATGTTGAAAAAGCAAATATCTTCCCATAAAAACTAGACGGAAGCATTCTCAGAAACTTATTTGTGATGTGTTTGCTCAACTAACAGGATTGAACCATCGTTTTGAAGGAGCAGTTTTGAAACACTGTTTTCGTGGAATCTGCAAGTGGATATTTGGCTAGCTTTGAGGATTTCGTTGGAAACGGGATTACATATAAAAAGGAGACAGCAGCATTCTCAGAAACTTCTTTGTGATGTCTGCATTCAATTCACAGAGTTGAGCATTCCCTTTCATAGAGCAGGTTGGAAACACTCTTTTTGTAGTATCTGGATGAGGACATTTGGAGCGCTTTCAGGCGTATGGTGAAAAAGGAAATATCTTCCCGTAAAAACTAGACAGAAGCATTCTCAGAAGTTTATTTGTGATGTGTGCCCTCAACTAACAGAGTTGAACCTTTCTTTTGATAGAGCAGTTTTGAAACACTCTTTTTGTAAAATCTGCAAGAGGATATTTGGACAGCTTTGAGGATTTCGTTGCAAACGGGAATGGCTTCATATAAACTCTAGACAGAAGCATTCTCAGAAACTGCTTTGGGATGTTTCAATTGAAGTCCCAGTGTTGAACATTCCCTTTCATAGAGCAGGTTGGAAACACTCTTTCTGCATTCCCTGGAAGTGGACAATTGGAGCGCATTCAGGACGACGGTGAAAATGGAAATATCTTCCAAGAAAATCTAGATAGAAGCAATGTCAGAAACTTTTATGTGATGGATCTACTCAGCTAACAGAGTTGAAGCTTTCTTTTGAGAGAGCAGTTTTGCAACACTCTTTTTGTGGAATATGCAAGTGGATATTAGGGCAGCTTTGAGGATTTCGTTGGAAACGGGAATACATGTAAAAAGCAGACAGCAGCATTCTCAGAAACTTCTTTGTGATGTTTGCATTGAAGTCACAGCAGTTGAACATTCCCTTTGAGAGAGCAGGTTTGAAACACGC
This sequence comes from Homo sapiens, assembly GCF_000001405.40. Taxonomy (NCBI): domain Eukaryota; kingdom Metazoa; phylum Chordata; class Mammalia; order Primates; family Hominidae; genus Homo; species Homo sapiens. The sequence goes on from NC_000020.11 coordinate 26,627,771, forward strand.
CTTTTGTCATATCTGGAAGTGTCCATTCGGAGCGCATTCAGGCTTGTGTTGAAAAAGGAAATATCCTCCCATAAAAACTAGACAGAAGCATTCTCAGAAACTTATCTGTGATGTATGTACTCAACTAACAGAACTAAACCATCGTTTTGAAGGAGCAGTTTTGAAACACTCTTTTTGCGGAATCTGCAAGTGGATATTTGGCTAGCTGGGAGGATTTCGTTGGAAACGGGATTACATACAAAAAGCAGACAGCAGCATTCTCAGAAACTTCTTTGTGATGTTAGCATTCAAGTCACAGAGTTGAACATTCCCTTTCATAGAGCAGGTTTGAAACACTCTTTTTGTAGTATCTGGATGTGGACATTTGGATCGCTTTCAGGCCTATGGTGAAAAAGGAAATATCTTCCCATGAAAACTAGACAGAAGCATTCTCAGAAACTTATTTGTGATGTGTGCCCTCAACTGACAGTGTTGAACCTTTGTTTTGATAGAGCACTTCTGAAACACACTTTTTGTAAAATCTGCAAGAGGATATTTGGATAGCTTTGAGGATTTCTTTGGAAACGGGAATGTCTTCATGTAAACTCTACACAGAAGCATTCTCAGAAACAGCTTTGGGATGTTTCAATTGAAGTCCCAGTGTTGAACATTCCCTTTCATAGAGCAGGTTTGAAACACTCTTTTTGTACTATCTGGAAGTGGACATTTGGAGCGCTTTCAGGTCTACGGTGAAAAAGGAGATATCTTCCAATAAAAACTAGATAGAAGCAATGTCAGAACTTTTTTCATGATGTATCTACTCAGCAAACAGAGTTGTACCTTTCTTTTGAGAGAGCAGTTTTGAAACACTCTTTTTGTGGAATATGCAAGTGGGTATTAGGCCAGCTTGGAGGATTTCGTTGGAAACGGGAATACGTATAAAAAGCAGACAGCAGCATTGTCAGAAACTACTTTGTGATGTTTGCATTCAAGTCACAGAACTGAACACTCCCTTTCACAGAGCAGGTTTGAAACACTCTTTTTGTAGTGTCTGTAAGTGAACATTTGGATTGCTTTCAGGCCTAAGGTGAAAAAGGAAATATCTTCCCATAAAAACTAGACAGAAGCATTCTCAGAAACTTGTTTGTGATGTGTGCCCTCTACTGACAGAGTTGAACCTTTCTTTGCAAAGAGCAGTTTTGAAACACTCTTTTTGTAGAATCTGCAAGAGGATATTTGGATAGCTTTGAGGATTTCTTGGGAAACGGGAATGTCTTCAGATAAACTCTAGACAGAAGCATACTCAGAAACTTCTTTGGGACGTTTCAATTGAAGTCACAGTGTTGAACATTCCCTTTCACAGAGCAGGTTTGAAACACTCTTTTTGTAGTGTCTATAAGTGAACATTTGGCGTGCTTTCAGGCCTAACGTGAAAAAGGAAATATCTTCCCATAAAAACTAGACAGAAGCATTCTCAGAAACTTGTTCATGATGTGTGCCCTCTACTGACAGAGTTGAACCTTTCTTTGCAAAGAGCAGCTTTGAAACACTCTTTTGGTAGAATCTGCAAGAGGATATTTGGATAGCTTTGAGGATTTCGTTGGAAACGGGTATGTCTTCAGATAAACTCTAGACAGAAGCATTCTCAGAAACTTCTTTGGGATGTTGCATTCAAGTCACAGAGTAGAACATTCCCATTCATAGAGCAGATTTGAAACACTCTTTTTGTAGTATCTGGAAGTGGACATTTGGAGCGCTTTCAGGCCTATGTTGAAAAAGGAAATATCTTCCCATAAAAACTAGACGGAAGCATTCTCAGAAACTTATTTGTGATGTGTTTGCTCAACTAACAGGATTGAACCATCGTTTTGAAGGAGCAGTTTTGAAACACTGTTTTCGTGGAATCTGCAAGTGGATATTTGGCTAGCTTTGAGGATTTCGTTGGAAACGGGATTACATATAAAAAGGAGACAGCCAGCATTCTCAGAAACTTCTTTGTGATGTTTGCATTCAATTCACAGAGTTGAGCATTCCCTTTCATAGAGCAGGTTGGAAACACTCTTTTTGTAGTATCTGGATGTGGACATTTGGATCGCTTTCAGGCCTATGGTGAAAAAGGAAATATCTTCCCATGAAAACTAGACAGAGCATTCTCAGAAACTTATTTGTGATGTGTGCCCTCAACTGACAGTGTTGAACCTTTGTTTTGATAGAGCAGTTCTGAAACACACTTTTTGTAAAATCTGCAAGAGGATATTTGGATAGCTTTGAGGATTTCGTTGGAAACGGGAATGTCTTCATGTAAACTCTAGACAGAAGCATTCTCAGAAACTGCTTTGGGATGTTTCAATTGAAGTCCCAGTGTTGAACATTCCCATTCATAGAGCAGGTTTGAAACACTCTTTTTGTACTATCTGGAAGTGGACATTTGGAGCGCTTTCAGGTCTACGGTGAAAAAGGAGATATCTTCCAATAAAAACTAGATAGAAGCAATGTCAGAACTTTTTTCATGATGTATCTACTCAGCAAACAGAGTTGAACCTTTCTTTTGAGAGAGCAGTTTTGAAACACTCCTTTGTGGAATATGCAAGTGGGTATTAGGCCAGCTTGGAGGATTTCGTTGGAAACGGGAATACGTATAAAAAGCAGACAGCAGCATTGTCAGAAACTACTTTGTGATGTTTGCATTCAAGTCACAGAATTGAACACTCCCTTTCACAGAGCAGGTTTGAAAAACTCTTTTTGTAGTGTCTGTAAGTGAACATTTGGATTGCTTTCAGGCCTAAGGTGAAAAAGGAAATATCTTCCCATAAAAACTAGACAGAAGCACTCTCAGAAACTTGTTTGTGATGTGTGCCCTCTACTGACAGAGTTGAACCTTTCTTTGCAAAGAGCAGTTTTGAAACACTCCTTTTGTAGAATCTGCAAGAGGATATTTGGATAGCTTTGAGGATTTCTTGGGAAACGGGAATGTCTTCAGATAAACTCTAGACAGAAGCATTCTCAGAAACTTCTTTGGGATGTTTCAATTGAAGTCACAGTGTTGAACATTCCCTTTCACAGAGCAGGTTTGAAACACTCTTTTTGTAGTGTCTATAAGTGAACATTTGGCGTGCTTTCAGGCCTAACGTGAAAAAGGAAATATCTTCCCATAAAAACTAGACAGAAGCATTCTCAGAAACTTGTTCTTGATGTGTCCCCTCTACTGACAGAGTTGAACCTTTCTTTGCAAAGAGCGGCTTTGAAACACTCTTTTTGTAGAATCTGCAAGAGGATATTTGGATAGCTTGGAGGTTTTCGTTGGAAACGGGTATGTCTTCAGATAAACTCTAGACAGAAGCATTCTCAGAAACTTCTTTGGGATGTTGCATTCAAGTCACAGAGTAGAACATTCCCATTCATAGAGCAGATTTGAAACACTCTTTTTGTAGTATCTGGAAGTGGACATTTGGAGCGCTTTCAGGCCTATGTTGAAAAAGGAAATATCTTCCCATAAAAACTAGACGGAAGCATTCTCAGAAACTTACTTGTGATGTGTTTGCTCAACTAACAGAATTGAACCATCGTTTTGAAGGAGCAGTTTTGAAACACTGTTTTCGTGGGATCTGCAAGTGGATATTTGGCTAGCTTTGAGGATTTCGTTGGAAACGGGATTACATATAAAAAGGAGACAGCAGCATTCTCAGAAACTTCTTTGTGATGTTTGCGTTCATGTCACTGAGTTGAACATTCCCTTTCATAGAGCATGTTTGAAACACTCTTTTTGTAGTATCTGGAAGTGGACATTTGAAGAGCTTTGAGGCCTATGGTGAAAAAGAAAATATCATCCTTTAAAAACTAGACAGAAACACTCTCAGAAACTTTTTTGTGATGTGCGCACTCAACTAACAGAGATGAACTTTTCTTTTGATAGAGCAGTTTTGAAACACTCTTTTTGTGGGATCTGCAAGTGGATAATTGGATAGCTTTGTGGATTTCGTTGGAAACGGGAGTCTCTTCATAAAAATTCTAGACTGAAGCATTCTCAGAAACTTCGTTGGGATGTTTCGATTGAAGTCCCAGTGTTGAACATTCCCTTTTATAGAGCAGGTTGGAAACACTCTTTCTGCATTCCCTGGAAGTGGACATTTGGAGCGCTTTCAGGACGACGGTGAAAATGGAAATATCTTCCAAGCAAAATCTAGATAGAAGCAACGTCAGAAACTTTTATGTGATGGATCTACTCAGCTAACAGAGTTGAACCTTTCTTTTGAGAGAGCAGTTTTGCAACACTCTTTTTGTGGAATATGCAAGTGGATATTAGGGCAGCTTTGAGGATTTCGTTGGAAACGGGAATACATGTAAAAAGCAGACAGCAGCATTCTCAGAAACTTCTTTGTGATGTTTGCATTGAAGTCACAGAGTTGAACATTCCCTTTGAGAGAGCAGGTTTGAAACACGCCTTTTGTCATATCTGGAAGTGTCCATTCGGAGCGCATTCAGGCTTGTGTTGAAAAAGGAAATATCCTCCCATAAAAACTAGACAGAAGCATTCTCAGAAACTTATCTGTGATGTATGTACTCAACTAACAGAACTAAACCATCGTTTTGAAGGAGCAGTTTTGAAACACTCTTTTTGCGGAATCTGCAAGTGGATATTTGGCTAGCTGGGAGGATTTCGTTGGAAACGGGATTACATACAAAAAGCAGACAGCAGCATTCTCAGAAACTTCTTTGTGATGTTTGCATTCAAGTCACAGAGTTGAACATTCCCTTTCATAGAGCAGGTTTGAAACACTCTTTTTGTAGTATCTGGATGTGGACATTTGGATCGCTTTCAGGCCTATGGTGAAAAAGGAAATATCTTCCCATGAAAACTAGACAGAAACATTCTCAGAAACTTATTTGTGATGTGTGCCCTCAACTGACAGTGTTGAACCTTTGTTTTGATAGAGCAGTTCTGAAACACACTTTTTGTAAAATCTGCAAGAGGATATTTGGATAGCTTTGAGGATTTCGTTGGAAACGGGAATGTCTTCATGTAAACTCTAGACAGAAGCATTCTCAGAAACTGCTTTGGGATGTTTCAATTGAAGTCCCAGTGTTGAACATTCCCTTTCATAGGAGCAGGTTTGAAACACTCTTTTTGTACTATCTGGAAGTGGACATTTGGAGCGCTTTCAGGTCTACGGTGAAAAAGGAGATATCTTCCAATAAAAACTAGATAGAAGCAATGTCAGAACTTTTTTCATGATGTATCTACTCAGCAAACAGAGTTGAACCTTTCTTTTGAGAGAGCAGTTTTGAAACACTCTTTTTGTGGAATATGCAAGTGGGTATTAGGCCAGCTTGAAGGATTTCGTTGGAAACGGGATTACGTATAAAAAGCAGACAGCAGCATTGTCAGAAACTACTTTGTGATGTTTGCATTCAAGTCACAGAATTGAACACTCCCTTTCACAGAGCAGGTTTGAAACACTCTTTTTGTAGTGTCTGGAAGTGAACATTTGGATTGCTTTCAGGCCTAAGGTGAAAAAGGAAATATCTTCCCATAAAAACTAGACAGAAGCATTCTCAGAAACTTGTTTGTGATGTGTGCCCTCTACTGACAGAGTTGAACCTTTCTTTGCAAAGAGCAGTTTTGAAACACTCTTTTTGTAGAATCTGCAAGAGGATATTTGGATAGCTTTGAGGATTTCTTGGGAAACGGGAATGTCTTCAGATAAACTCTAGACAGAAGCATTCTCAGAAACTTCTTTGGGATGTTTCAATTGAAGTCACAGTGTTGAACATTCCCTTTCACAGAGCAGGTTTGAAACAGTCTTTTTGTAGTGTCTATAAGTGAACATTTGGCGTGCTTTCAGGCCTAACGTGAAAAAGGAAATCTCTTCCCATAAAAACTAGACAGAAGCATTCTCAGAAACTTGTTTGTGATGTGTGCCCTCTACTGACAGAGTTGAACCTTTCTTTGCAAAGAGCAGCTTTGAAACACTCTTTTTGTAGAATCTGCAAGAGGATATTTGGATAGCTTTGAGGATTTCGTTGGAAACGGGTATGTCTTCAGATAAACTCTAGACAGAAGCATTCTCAGAAACTTCTTTGGGATGTTGCATTCAAGTCACAGAGTAGAACATTCCCATTCATAGAGCAGATTTGAAACACTCTTTTTGTAGTATCTGGAAGTGGACATTTGGAGCGCTTTCAGGCCTATGTTGAAAAAGGAAATATCTTCCCATAAAAACTAGACGGAAGCATTCTCAGAAACTTACTTGTGATGTGTTTGCTCAACTAACAGAATTGAACCATCGTTTTGAAGGAGCAGTTTTGAAACACTGTTTTCGTGGAATCTGCAAGTGGATATTTGGCTAGCTTTGAGGATTTCGTTGGAAACGGGATTACATATAAAAAGGAGACAGCAGCATTCTCAGAAACTTCTTTGTGATGTTTGCATTCAAGTCACAGAGTTGAACATTCCCTTTCATAGAGCAGGTTTGAAACACTCTTTTTGTAGTATGTGGAAGTGGACATTTGGAGCGCTTGGAGGCCTATGGTGAAAAGGAAATATCTTCCCGTAAAAACTAGACAGAAAAAAATTTACCCTAAAACTTAAAGTATAATAAAAAAATAAAAAAATAAAACTTAAAAAAACGAAGAAAATATAACAAATAACATGTTTAACTATATAACAAACCTTCACATGTACCCTCAAACATAAAATAAAAGTTTCAAAAGAAGAAAATATAACAAACACATGTGAGATGTGTGTGTATGCATGTATCTACATGATTATGTATGTATACATATGTGTATACATATATGTATGTATACACATGTGTAGACGTGTATATGTATATATACACATGTGTAGACATATATATGTATATATACACACATGCAGATACATACATACATATACACGTATCTTTGTATGTTCTTGTTTCCATATTTCCTCCTCCTTTATATAAAGGATAGCATATTCTTAAAAAAAAAAAACTGCTCTATCAAAAGAAAGGTTCAACTCTGTTAGTTGAGTAAACACATCACAAACAAGTTTCTGACAATACTTC
>NC_000020.11:26634895-26646454 GCF_000001405.40 Homo sapiens
AGCATTCTCAGAAACTTCGTTGGGATGTTTCGATTGAAGTCCCAGTGTTGAACATTCCCTTTTATAGAGCAGGTTGGAAACACTCTTTCTGCATTCCCTGGAAGTGGACATTTGGAGCGCTTTCAGGACGACGGTGAAAATGGAAATATCTTCCAAGAAAATCTAGATAGAAGCAATGTCAGAAACTTTTATGTGATGGATCTACTCAGCTAACAGAGTTGAACCTTTCTTTTGAGAGAGCAGTTTTGCAACACTCTTTTTGTGGAATATGCAAGTGGATATTAGGGCAGCTTTGAGGATTTCGTTGGAAACGGGAATACATGTAAAAAGCAGACAGCAGCATTCTCAGAAACTTCTTTGTGATGTTTGCATTGAAGTCACAGAGTTGAACATTCCCTTTGAGAGAGCAGGTTTGAAACACGCCTTTTGTCATATCTGGAAGTGTCCATTCGGAGCGCATTCAGGCTTGTGTTGAAAAAGGAAATATCCTCCCATAAAAACTAGACAGAAGCATTCTCAGAAACTTATCTGTGATGTATGTACTCAACTAACAGAACTAAACCATCGTTTTGAAGGAGCAGTTTTGAAACACTCTTTTTGCGGAATCTGCAAGTGGATATTTGGCTAGCTGGGAGGATTTCGTTGGAAACGGGATTACATACAAAAAGCAGACAGCAGCATTCTCAGAAACTACTTTGTGATGTTTGCATTCAAGTCACAGAGTTGAACATTCCCTTTCATAGAGCAGGTTTGAAACACTCTTTTTGTAGTATCTGGATGTGGACATTTGGATCGCTTTCAGGCCTATGGTGAAAAAGGAAATATCTTCCCATGAAAACTAGACAGAAGCATTCTCAGAAACTTATTTGTGATGTGTGCCCTCAACTGACAGTGTTGAACCTTTGTTTTGATAGAGCAGTTCTGAAACACACTTTTTGTAAAATCTGCAAGAGGATATTTGGATAGCTCTGAGGATTTCGTTGGAAACGGGAGTGTCTTCATGTAAACTCTAGACAGAAGCATTCTCAGAAACTTCTTTGTGATGTTTGCATTCAAGTCACAGAGTTGAACATTCCCTTTCATAGAGCAGGTTTGAAACACTCTTTTTGTAGTATCTGGAAGTGGACATTTAGAGCGTTCTCAGGACTACGGTGAAAAAGGAAATATCTTCCAATAAAAGCTAGATAGAAGCAATGTCAGAAACTTTTTCATGATATATCTACTCAGCTAACAGAGTTCAACCTTTCTTTTGAGAGAGCAGTTTTAAAACAGTCTTTTTGTGGAATATGCAAGTGGATATTAAGCCAGCTTGGAGGATTTCGTTGGAAACGGGAATCCATATAAAATGCAGACAGCAGCATTGTCAGAAACTACTTTGTGATGTTTGCATTCAAGTCACAGAATTGAACACTCCCTTTCACAGAGCAGGTTTGAAACACTCTTTTTGTAGTGTCTGTAAGTGAACATTTGGATTGCTTTCAGGCCTAAGGTGAAAAAGGAAATATCTTCCCATAAAAACTAGACAGAAGCATTCTCAGAAACTTGTTTGTGATGTGTGCCCTCTACTGACAGAGTTGAACCTTTCTTTGCAAAGAGCAGTTTTGAAACACTCTTTTTGTAGAATCTGCAAGAGGATATTTGGATAGCTTTGAGGATTTCTTGGGAAACGGGAATGTCTTCAGATAAACTCTAGACAGAAGCATTCTCAGAAACTTCTTTGGGATGTTTCAATTGAAGTCACAGTGTTGAACATTCCCTTTCACAGAGCAGGTTTGAAACACTCTTTTTGTAGTGTCTATAAGTGAACATTTGGCGTGCTTTCAGGCGTAACGTGAAAAAGGAAATATCTTCCCATAAAAACTAGACAGAAGCATTCTCAGAAACTTGTTCGTGATGTGTGCCCTCTACTGACAGAGTTGAACCTTTCTTTGCAAAGAGCAGCTTTGAAACACTCTTTTTGTAGAATCTGCAAGAGGATATTTGGATAGCTTGGAGGATTTCGTTGGAAACGGGTATGTCTTCAGATAAACTCTAGACAGAAGCATTCTCAGAAACTTCTTCGGGATGTTGCATGCAAGTCACAGAGTAGAACATTCCCATTCATAGAGCAGATTTGAAACACTCTTTTTGTAGTATCTGGAAGTGGACATTTGGAGCGCTTTCAGGCCTATGTTGAAAAAGGAAATATCTTCCCATAAAAACTAGACGGAAGCATTCTCAGAAACTTATTTGTGATGTGTTTGCTCAACTAACAGGATTGAACCATCGTTTTGAAGGAGCAGTTTTGAAACACTGTTTTCGTGGAATCTGCAAGTGGATATTTGGCTAGCTTTGAGGATTTCGTTGGAAACGGGATTACATATAAAAAGGAGACAGCAGCATTCTCAGAAACTTCTTTGTGATGTCTGCATTCAATTCACAGAGTTGAGCATTCCCTTTCATAGAGCAGGTTGGAAACACTCTTTTTGTAGTATCTGGATGAGGACATTTGGAGCGCTTTCAGGCGTATGGTGAAAAAGGAAATATCTTCCCGTAAAAACTAGACAGAAGCATTCTCAGAAGTTTATTTGTGATGTGTGCCCTCAGCTAACAGAGTTGAACCTTTCTTTTGATAGAGCAGTTTTGAAACACTCTTTTTGTAAAATCTGCAAGAGGATATTTGGATAGCTTTGAGGATTTCGTTGCAAACGGGAATGGCTTCATATAAACTCTAGACAGAAGCATTCTCAGAAACTTCGTTGGGATGTTTCGATTGAAGTCCCAGTGTTGAACATTCCCTTTTATAGAGCAGGTTGGAAACACTCTTTCTGCATTCCCTGGAAGTGGACATTTGGAGCGCTTTCAGGACGACGGTGAAAATGGAAATATCTTCCAAGAAAATCTAGATAGAAGCAATGTCAGAAACTTTTATGTGATGGATCTACTCAGCTAACAGAGTTGAACCTTTCTTTTGAGAGAGCAGTTTTGCAACATTCTTTTTGTGGAATATGCAAGTGGATATTAGGGCAGCTTTGAGGATTTCGTTGGAAACGGGAATACATGTAAAAAGCAGACAGCAGCATTCTCAGAAACTTCTTTGTGATGTTTGCATTGAAGTCACAGAGTTGAACATTCCCTTTGAGAGAGCAGGTTGGAAACACGCCTTTTGTCATATCTGGAAGTGTCCATTCGGAGCGCATTCAGGCTTGTGTTGAAAAAGGAAATATCCTCCCATAAAAACTAGACAGAAGCATTCTCAGAAACTTATCTGTGATGTATGTACTCAACTAACAGAACTAAACCATCGTTTTGAAGGAGCAGTTTTGAAACACTCTTTTTGCGGAATCTGCAAGTGGATATTTGGCTAGCTGGGAGGATTTCGTTGGAAACGGGATTACATACAAAAAGCAGACAGCAGCATTCTCAGAAACTTCTTTGTGATGTTTGCATTCAAGTCACAGAGTTGAACATTCCCTTTCATAGAGCAGGTTTGAAACACTCTTTTTGTAGTATCTGGATGTGGACATTTGGATCGCTTTCAGGCCTATGGTGAAAAAGGAAATATCTTCCCATGAAAACTAGACAGAAGCATTCTCAGAAACTTATTTGTGATGTGTGCCCTCAACTGACAGTGCTGAACCTTTGTTTTGATAGAGCAGTTCTGAAACACACTTTTTGTAAAATCTGCAAGAGGATATTTGGATAGCTTTGAGGATTTCGTTGGAAACGGGAATGTCTTCATGTAAACTCTAGACAGAAGCATTCTCAGAAACTGCTTTGGGATGTTTCAATTGAAGTCCCAGTGTTGAACATTCCCATTCATAGAGCAGGTTTGAAACACTCTTTTTGTACTATCTGGAAGTGGACATTTGGAGCGCTTTCAGGTCTACGGTGAAAAAGGAGATATCTTCCAATAAAAACTAGATAGAAGCAATGTCAGAACTTTTTTCATGATGTATCTACTCAGCAAACAGAGTTGAACCTTTCTTTTGAGAGAGCAGTTTTGAAACACTCTTTTTGTGGAATATGCAAGTGGGTATTAGGCCAGCTTGGAGGATTTCGTTGGAAACGGGAATACGTATAAAAAGCAGACAGCAGCATTGTCAGAAACTACTTTGTGATGTTTGCATTCAAGTCACAGAATTGAACACTCCCTTTCACAGAGCAGGTTTGAAACACTCTTTTTGTAGTGTCTGTAAGTGAACATATGGATTGCTTTCAGGCCTAACGTGAAAAAGGAAATATCTTCCCATAAAAACTAGACAGAAGCATTCTCAGAAACTTGTTTGTGATGTGTGCCCTCTACTGACAGAGTTGAACCTTTCTTTGCAAAGAGCAGTTTTGAAACACTCTTTTTGTAGAATCTGCAAGAGGATATTTGGATAGCTTTGAAGATTTCTTGGGAAACGGGAATGTCTTCAGATAAACTCTAGACAGAAGCATTCTCAGAAACTTCTTTGGGATGTTTCAATTGAAGTCACAGTGTTGAACATTCCCTTTCACAGAGCAGGTTTGAAACACTCTTTTTGTAGTGTCTATAAGTGAACATTTGGCGTGCTTTCAGGCCTAACGTGAAAAAGGAAATATCTTCCCATAAAAACTAGCACAGAAGCATTCTCAGAAACTTGTTCGTGATGTGTGCCCTCTACTGACAGAGTTGAACCTTTCTTTGCAAAGAGCAGCTTTGAAACACTCTTTTTGTAGAATCTGCCAGAGGATATTTGGATAGCTTTGAGGATTTCGTTGGAAACGGGTATGTCTTCAGATAAACTCTAGACAGAAGCATTCTCAGAAACTTCTTTGGGATGTTGCATTCAAGTCACAGAGTAGAACATTCCCATGCATAGAGCAGATTTGAAACACTCTTTTTGTAGTATCTGGAAGTGGACATTTGGAGCGCTTTCAGGCCTATGTTGAAAAAGGAAATATCTTCCCATAAAAACTAGACGGAAGCATTCTCAGAAACTTACTTGTGATGTGTTTGCTCAACTAACAGAATTGAACCATCGTTTTGAAGGAGCAGTTTTGAAACACTGTTTTCGTGGAATCTGCAAGTGGATATTTGGCTAGCTTTGAGGATTTCGTTGGAAACGGGATTACATATAAAAAGGAGACAGCAGCATTCTCAGAAACTTCTTTGTGATGTCTGCATTCAAGTCACAGAGTTGAGCATTCCCTTTCATAGAGCAGGTTGGAAACACTCTTTTTGTAGTATCTGGATGAGGACATTTGGAGCGCTTTCAGGCGTATGGTGAAAAAGGAAATATCTTCCCGTAAAAACTAGACAGAAGCATTCTCAGAAATTTATTTGTGATGTGTGCCCTCAACTAACAGAGTTGAACCTTTCTTTTGATAGAGCAGTTTTGAAACACTGTTTTTGTAAAATCTGCAAGAGGATATTTGGATAGCTTTGAGGATTTCGTTGCAAACGGGAATGGCTTCATATAAACTCTAGACAGAAGCATTCTCAGAAACTTCGTTGGGATGTTTCGATTGAAGTCCCAGTGTTGAACATTCCCTTTTATAGAGCAGGTTGGAAACACTCTTTCTGCATTCCCTGGAAGTGGACATTTGGAGCGCTTTCAGGACGACGGTGAAAATGGAAATATCTTCCAAGAAAATCTAGATAGAAGCAATGTCAGAAACTTTTATGTGATGGATCTACTCAGCTAACAGAGTTGAACCTTTCTTTTGAGAGAGCAGTTTTGCAACACTCTTTTTGTGGAATATGCAAGTGGATATTAGGGCAGCTTTGAGGATTTCGTTGGAAACGGGAATACATGTAAAAAGCAGACAGCAGCATTCTCAGAAACTTCTTTGTGATGTTTGCATTGAAGTCACAGAGTTCAACATTCCCTTTGAGAGAGCAGGTTTGAAACACGCCTTTTGTCATATCTGGAAGTGTCCATTCGGAGCGCATTCAGGCTTGTGTTGAAAAAGGAAATATCCTCCCAGAAAAACTAGACAGAAGCATTCTCAGAAACTTATCTGTGATGTATGTACTCAACTAACAGAACTAAACCATCGTTTTGAAGGAGCAGTTTTGAAACACTCTTTTTGCGGAATCTGCAAGTGGATATTTGGCTAGCTGGGAGGATTTCGTTGGAAACGGGATTACATACAAAAAGCAGACAGCAGCATTCTCAGAAACTTCTTTGTGATGTTTGCATTCAAGTCACAGAGTTGAACATTCCCTTTCATAGAGCAGGTTTGAAACACTCTTTTTGTAGTATCTGGATGTGGACATTTGGATCCCTTTCAGGCCTATGGTGAAAAAGGAAATATCTTCCCATGAAAACTAGACAGAAGCATTCTCAGAAACTTATTTGTGATGTGTGCCCTCAACTGACAGTGTTGAACCTTTGTTTTGATAGAGCAGTTCTGAAACACACTTTTTGTAAAATCTGCAAGAGGATATTTGGATAGCTTTGAGGATTTCGTTGGAAACGGGAATGTCTTCATGTAAACTCTAGACAGAAGCATTCTCAGAAACTGCTTTGGGATGTTTCAATTGAAGTCCCAGTGTTGAACATTCCCATTCATAGAGCAGGTTTGAAACACTCTTTTTGTACTATCTGGAAGTGGACATTTGGAGCGCTTTCAGGTCTACGGTGAAAAAGGAGATATCTTCCAATAAAAACTAGATAGAAGCAATGTCAGAACTTTTTTCATGATGTATCTACTCAGCAAACAGAGTTGAACCTTTCTTTTGAGAGAGCAGTTTTGAAACACTCTTTTTGTGGAATATGCAAGTGGGTATTAGGCCAGCTTGGAGGATTTCGTTGGAAACGGGAATACGTATAAAAAGCAGACAGCAGCATTGTCAGAAACTACTTTGTGATGTTTGCATTCAAGTCACAGAATTGAACACTCCCTTTCACAGAGCAGGTTTGAAACACTCTTTTTGTAGTGTCTGTAAGTGAACATTTGGATTGCTTTCAGGCGTAAGGTGAAAAAGGAAATATCTTCCCATAAAAACTAGACAGAAGCATTCTCAGAAACTTGTTTGTGATGTGTGCCCTCTACTGACAGAGTTGAACCTTTCTTTGCAAAGAGCAGTTTTGAAACACTCTTTTTGTAGAATCTGCAAGAGGATATTTGGATAGCTTTGAGGATTTCTTGGGAAACGGGAATGTCTTCAGATAAACTCTAGACAGAAGCATTCTCAGAAACTTCTTTGGGATGTTTCAATTGAAGTCACAGTGTTGAACATTCCCTTTCACAGAGCAGGTTTGAAACACTCTTTTTGAAGTGTCTATAAGTGAACATTTGGCGTGCTTTCAGGCCTAACGTGAAAAAGGAAATATCTTCCCATAAAAACTAGACAGAAGCATTCTCAGAAACTTGTTCGTGATGTGTGCCCTCTACTGACAGAGTTGAACCTTTCTTTGCAAAGAGCAGCTTTGAAACACTCTTTTTGTAGAATCTGCAAGAGGATATTTGGATAGCTTGGAGGATTTCGTTGGAAACGGGTATGTCTTCAGATAAACTCTAGACAGAAGCATTCTCAGAAACTTCTTTGGGATGTTGCATTCAAGTCACAGAGTAGAACATTCCCATTCATAGAGCAGATTTGAAACACTCTTTTTGTAGTATCTGGAAGTGGACATTTGGAGCGCTTTCAGGCCTATGTTGAAAAAGGAAATATCTTCCCATAAAAACTAGACGGAAGCATTCTCAGAAACTTATTTGTGATGTGTTTGCTCAACTAACAAGATTGAACCATCGTTTTGAAGGAGCAGTTTTGAAACACTGTTTTCGTGGAATCTGCAAGTGGATATTTGGCTAGCTTTGAGGATTTCGTTGGAAACGGGATTACATATAAAAAGGAGACAGCAGCATTCTCAGTAAACTTCTTTGTGATGTTTGCATTCAATTCACAGAGTTGAGCATTCCCTTTGATAGAGCAGGTTGGAAACACTCTTTTTGTAGTATCTGGATGTGGACATTTGGATCGCTTTCAGGCCTATGGTGAAAAAGGAAATATCTTCCCATGAAAACTAGACAGAAGCATTCTCAGAAACTTATTTGTGATGTGTGCCCTCAACTGACAGTGTTGAACCTTTGTTTTGATAGAGCAGTTCTGAAACACACTTTTTGTAAAATCTGCAAGAGGATATTTGGATAGCTTTGAGGATTTCGTTGGAAACGGGAATGTCTTCATGTAAACTCTAGACAGAAGCATTCTCAGAAACTGCTTTGGGATGTTTCAATTGAAGTCCCAGTGTTGAACATTCCCTTTCATAGAGCAGGTTTGAAACACTCTTTTTGTACTATCTGGAAGTGGACATTTGGAGCGCTTTCAGGTCTACGGTGAAAAAGGAGATATCTTCCAATAAAAACTAGATAGAAGCAATGTCAGAACTTTTTTCATGATGTATCTACTCAGCAAACAGAGTTGAACCTTTCTTTTGAGAGAGCAGTTTTGAAACACTCTTTTTGTGGAATATGCAAGTGGGTATTAGGCCAGCTTGGAGGATTTCGTTGGAAACGGGAATACGCATAAAAAGCAGACAGCAGCATTGTCAGAAACTACTTTGTGATGTTTGCATTCAAGTCACAGAATTGAACACTCCCTTTCACAGAGCAGGTTTGAAACACTCTTTTTGTAGTGTCTGTAAGTGAACATTTGGATTGCTTTCAGGCCTAAGGTGAAAAAGGAAATATCTTCCCATAAAAACTAGACAGAAGCATTCTCAGAAACTTGTTTGTGATGTGTGCCCTCTACTGACAGAGTTGAACCTTTCTTTGCAAAGAGCAGTTTTGAAACACTCTTTTTGTAGAATCTGCAAGAGGATATTTGGATAGCTTTGAGGATTTCTTGGGAAACGGGAATGTCTTCAGATAAACTCTAGACAGAAGCATTCTCAGAAACTTCTTTGGGATGTTTCAATTGAAGTCACAGTGTTGAACATTCCCTTTCACAGAGCAGGTTTGAAACACTCTTTTTGTAGTGTCTATAATTGAACATTTGGCGTGCTTTCAGGCCTAACGTGAAAAAGGAAATATCTTCCCATAAAAACTAGACAGAAGCATTCTCAGAAACTTGTTCGTGATGTGTGCCCTCTACTGACAGAGTTGAACCTTTCTTTGCAAAGAGCAGCTTTGAAACACTCTTTTTGTAGAATCTGCAAGAGGATATGTGGATAGATTTGAGGATTTCGTTGGAAACGGGTATGTCTTCAGATAAACTCTAGACAGAAGCATTCTCAGAAACTTCTTTGGGATGTTTCAATTGAAGTCACAGTGTTGAACATTCCCTTTCACAGAGCAGGTTTGAAACACTCTTTTTGTAGTGTCTATAAGTGAACATTTGGCGTGCTTTCAGGCCTAACGTGAAAAAGGAAATATCTTCCCATAAAAACTAGACAGAAGCATTCTCAGAAACTTGTTCGTGATGTGTGCCCTCTACTGACAGAGTTGAACCTTTTTTTGCAAAGAGCAGCTTTGAAACACTCTTTTTGTAGAATCTGCAAGAGGATATTTGGATAGCTTTGAGGATTTCGTTGGAAACGGGTATGTCTTCAGATAAACTCTAGACAGAAGCATTCTCAGAAACTTCTTTGGGATGTTGCATTCAAGTCACAGAGTAGAACATTCCCATTCATAGAGCAGATTTGAAACACTCTTTTTGTAGTATCTGGAAGTGGACATTTGGAGCGCTTTCAGGCCTATGTTGAAAAAGGAAATATCTTCCCATAAAAACTAGACGGAAGCATTCTCAGAAACTTACTTGTGATGTGTTTGCTCAACTAACAGAATTGAACCATCGTTTTGAAGGAGCAGTTTTGAAACACTGTTTTCGTGGAATCTGCAAGTGGATATTTGGCTAGCTTTGAGGATTTCGTTGGAAACGGGATTACATATACAAAGGAGACAGCAGCATTCTCAGAAACTTCTTTGTGATGTCTGCATTCAATTCACAGAGTTGAGCATTCCCTTTCATAGAGCAGGTTGGAAACACTCTTTTTGTAGTATCTGGATGAGGACATTTGGAGCGCTTTCAGGCGTATGGTGAAAAAGGAAATATCTTCCCGTAAAAACTAGACAGAAGCATTCTCAGAAATTTATTTGTGATGTGTGCCCTCAACTAACAGAGTTGAACCTTTCTTTCGATAGAGCAGTTTTGAAACACTCTTTTTGTAAAATCTGCAAGAGGATATTTGGATAGCTTTGAGGATTTCGTTGCAAACGGGAATGGCTTCATATAAACTCTAGACAGAAGCATTCTCAGAAACTTCGTTGGGATGTTTCGATTGAAGTCCCAGTGTTGAACATTCCCTTTTATAGAGCAGGTTGGAAACACTCTTTCTGCATTCCCTGGAAGTGGACATTTGGAGCGCTTTCAGGACGACGGTGAAAATGGAAATATCTTCCAATAAAATCTAGATAGAAGCAACGTCAGAAACTTTTCTGTGATGGATCTACTCAGCTAACAGAGTTGAACCTTTCTTTTGAGAGAGCAGTTTTGCAACACTCTTTTTGTGGAATATGCAAGTGGATATTAGGGCAGCTTTGAGGATTTCGTTGGAAACGGGAATACATGTAAAAAGCAGACAGCAGCATTCTCAGAAACTTCTTTGTGATGTTTGCATTGAAGTCACAGAGTTGAACATTCCCTTTGAGAGAGCAGGTTTGAAACACGCCTTTTGTCATATCTGGAAGTGTCCATTCGGAGCGCATTCAGGCTTGTGTTGAAAAAGGAAATATCCTCCCATAAAAACTAGACAGAAGCATTCTCAGAAACTTATCTGTGATGTATGTACTCAACTAACAGAACTAAACCATCGTTTTGAAGGAGCAGTTTTGAAACACTTTTTTGCGGAATCTGCAAGTGGATATTTGGCTAGCTGGGAGGATTTCGTTGGAAACGGGATTACATACAAAAAGCAGACAGCAAGCATTCTCAGCAAACTTATTTGTGATGTGTGCCCTCAACTGACAGTGTTGAACCTTTGTTTTGATAGAGCAGTTTTGAAACACACTTTTTGTAAAATCTGCAAGAGGATATTTGGATAGCTTTGAGGATTTCGTTGGAAACGGGAATGTCTTCATGTAAACTCTAGACAGAAGCATTCTCAGAAACTGCTTTGGGATGTTTCAATTGAAGTCCCAGTGTTGAACATTCCCATTCATAGAGCAGGTTTGAAACACTCTTTTTGTACTATCTGGAAGTGGACATTTGGAGCGCTTTCAGGTCTACGGTGAAAAAGGAGATATCTTCCAATAAAAACTAGATAGAAGCAATGTCAGAACTTTTTTCATGATGTATCTACTCAGCTAACAGAGTTGAACCTTTCTTTTGAGAGAGCAGTTTTGAAACACTCTTTTTGTGGAATATGCAAGTGGGTATTAGGCCAGCTTGGAGGATTTCGTTGGAAACGGGAATACGTATAAAAAGCAGACAGCAGCATTGTCAGAAACTACTTTGTGATGTTTGCATTCAAGTCACAGAATTGAACACTCCCTTTCACAGAGCAGGTTTCAAACACTCTTTTTGTAGTGTCTATAAGTGAACATTTGGCGTGCTTTCAGGCCTAAGGTGAAAAAGGAAATATCTTCCCATAAAAACTAGACAGA
>NC_000020.11:27504466-27518701 GCF_000001405.40 Homo sapiens
TAAACAGTCAAGAGAAGCCACGCAGCACCCTGAAACACTTTGCTTAGAGATTTTTTCTATCGAATATCCTAGTTCATCACTCCTAAGTTCTGATTTCCACAAAGTACTAACACGGACACAATTCACAACACGGACACAAGATCTTATTGGAAGCTGTGTCTAGAGTTTACATGAAGACATTCCCGTTTCCAACGAAATCCTCAAAGCTATCCAAATATCCTCTTGCAGATTTTACAAAAAGTGTGTTTCAGAACTGCTCTATCAAAACAAAGGTTCAACACTGTCAGTTGAGGGCACACATCACAAATAAGTTTCTGAGAATGCTTCAGCATTCTCAGAAACTTCGTTGGGATGTTTCGATTGAAGTCCCAGTGTTGAACATTCCCTTTTATAGAGTAGGTTGGAAACACTCTTTCTGCATTCCCTGGAAGTGGACATTTGGAGCGCTTTCAGGACGACGGTGTAAATGGAAATATCTTCCAAGAAAATCTAGATAGAAGCAACGTCAGAAACTTTTATGTGATGGATCTACTCAGCTAACAGAGTTGAACCTTTCTTTTGAGAGAGCAGTTTTGCAACACTCTTTTTGTGGAATATGCAAGTGGATATTAGGGCAGCTTTGAGGATTTCGTTGGAAACGGGAATACATGTAAAAAGCAGACAGCAGCATTCTCAGAAACTTCTTTGTGATGTTTGCATTGAAGTCACAGAGTTGAACATTCCCTTTGAGAGAGCAGGTTTGAAACACGCCTTTTGTCATATCTGGAAGTGTCCATTCGGAGCGCATTCAGGCTTGTGTTGAAAAAGGAAATATCCTCCCAGAAAAACTAGACAGAAGCATTCTCAGAAACTTATTTGTGATGTATGTACTCAACTAACAGAACTAAACCATCGTTTTGAAGGAGCAGTTTTGAAACACTCTTTTTGCGGAATCTGCAAGTGGATATTTGGCTAGCTTGGAGGATTTCGTTGGAAACGGGATTACATACAAAAAGCAGAGAGCAGCATTCTCAGAAACTTCTTTGTGATGTTTGCATTCAAGTCACAGAGTTGAACATTCCCTTTCATAGAGCAGGTTTGAAACACTCTTTTTGTAGTATCTGGATGTGGACATTTGGATCGCTTTCAGGCCTATGGTGAAAAAGGAAATATCTTCCCATGAAAACTAGACAGAAGCATTCTCAGAAACTTATTTGTGATGTGTGCCCTCAACTGACAGTGTTGAACCTTTGTTTTGATAGAGCAGTTCTGAAACACACTTTTTGTAAAATCTGCAAGAGGATATTTGGATAGCTTTGAGGATTTCGTTGGAAACGGGAATGTCTTCATGTAAACTCTACACAGAAGCATTCTCAGAAACTGCTTTGGGATGTTTCAATTGAAGTCCCAGTGTTGAACATTCCCATTCATAGAGCAGGTTTGAAACACTCTTTTTGTACTATCTGGAAGTGGACATTTGGAGCGCTTTCAGGTCTACGGTGAAAAAGGAGATATCTTCCAATAAAAACTAGATAGAAGCAATGTCAGAACTTTTTTCATGATGTATCTACTCAGCAAACAGAGTTGAACCTTTCTTTTGAGAGAGCAGTTTTGAAACACTCTTTTTGTGGAATATGAAAGTGGGTATTAGGCCAGCTTGGAGGATTTCGTTGGAAACGGGAATACGTATAAAAAGCAGACAGCAGCATTGTCAGAAACTACTTTGTGATGTTTGCATTCAAGTCACAGAACTGAACACTCCCTTTCACAGAGCAGGTTTGAAACACTCTTTTTGTAGTGTCTGTAAGTGAACATTTGGATTGCTTTCAGGCCTAAGGTGAAAAAGGAAATATCTTCCCATAAAAACTAGACAGAAGCATTCTCAGAAACTTGTTTGTGATGTGTGCCCTCTACTGACAGAGTTGAACCTTTCTTTGCAAAGAGCAGTTTTGAAACACTCTTTTTGTAGAATCTGCAAGAGGATATTTGGATAGCTTTGAGGATTTCTTGGGAAACGGGAATGTCTTCAGATAAACTCTAGACAGAAGCATTCTCAGAAACTTCTTTGGGATGTTTCAATTGAAGTCACAGTGTTGAACATTCCCTTTCACAGAGCAGGTTTGAAACACTCTTTTTGTAGTGTCTGTAAGTGAACATTTGGCGTGCTTTCAGGCCTAACGTGAAAAAGGAAATATCTTCCCATAAAAACTAGACAGAAGCATTCTCAGAAACTTGTTCGTGATGTGTGCCCTCTACTGACAGAGTTGAACCTTTCTTTGCAAAGAGCAGCTTTGAAACACTCTTTTTGTAGAATCTGCAAGAGGATATGTGGATAGCTTTGAGGATTTCGTTGGAAACGGGTATGTCTTCAGATAAACTCTAGACAGAAGCATTCTCAGAAACTTCTTTGGGATGTTTCAATTGAAGTCACAGTGTTGAACATTCCCTTTCACAGAGCAGGTTTGAAACACTCTTTTTGTAGTGTCTATAAGTGAACATTTGGCGTGCTTTCAGGCCTAACGTGAAAAAGGAAATATCTTCCCATAAAAACTAGACAGAAGCATTCTCAGAAACTTGTTCGTGATGTGTGCCCTCTACTGACAGAGTTGAACCTTTCTTTGCAAAGAGCAGCTTTGAAACACTCTTTTTGTAGAATCTGCAAGAGGATATTTGGATAGCTTTGAGGATTTCGTTGGAAACGGGTATGTCTTCAGATAAACTCTAGACAGAAGCATTCTCAGAAACTTCTTTGGGATGTTTCAATTGAAGTCACAGTGTTGAACATTCCCTTTCACAGAGCAGGTTTGAAACACTCTTTTTGTAGTGTCTATAAGTGAACATTTGGCGTGCTTTCAGGCGTAACGTGAAAAAGGAAATATCTTCCCATAAAAACTAGACGGAAGCATTCTTAGAAACTTACTTGTGATGTGTTTGCTCAACTAACAGAATTGAACCATCGTTTTGAAGGAGCAGTTTTGAAACACTGTTTTCGTGGAATCTGCAAGTGGATATTTGGCTAGCTTTGAGGATTTCGTTGGAAACGGGATTACATATAAAAAGGAGACAGCAGCATTCTCAGAAACTTCTTTGTGATGTCTGCATTCAAGTCACAGAGTTGAGCATTCCCTTTCATAGAGCAGGTTGGAAACACTCTTTTTGTAGTATCTGGATGAGGACATTTGGAGCGCTTTCAGGCGTATGGTGAAAAAGGAAATATCTTCCCGTAAAAACTAGACAGAAGCATTCTCAGAAATTTATTTGTGATGTGTGCCCTCAACTAACAGAGTTGAACCTTTCTTTTGATAGAGCAGTTTTGAAACACTCTTTTTGTAAAATCTGCAAGAGGATATTTGGATAGCTTTGAGGATTTCGTTGCAAACGGGAATGGCTTCATATAAACTCTAGACAGAAGCATTCTCAGAAACTTCGTTGGGATGTTTCGATTGAAGTCCCAGTGTTGAACATTCCCTTTTATAGAGCAGGTTGGAAACACTCTTTCTGCATTCCCTGGAAGTGGACATTTGGAGCGCTTTCAGGACGACGGTGAAAATGGAAATATCTTCCAAGAAAATCTAGATAGAAGCAATGTCAGAAACTTTTCTGTGATGGATCTACTCAGCTAACAGAGTTGAACCTTTCTTTTGAGAGAGCAGTTTTGCAACACTCTTTTTGTGGAATATGCAAGTGGATATTAGGGCAGCTTTGAGGATTTCGTTGGAAACGGGAATACATGTAAAAAGCAGACAGCAGCATTCTCAGAAACTTCTTTGTGATGTTTGCATTGAAGTCACAGAGTTGAACATTCCCTTTGAGAGAGCAGGTTTGAAACACGCCTTTTGTCATATCTGGAAGTGTCCATTCGGAGCGCATTCAGGCTTGTGTTGAAAAAGGAAATATCCTCCCAGAAAAACTAGACAGAAGCATTCTCAGAAACTTATCTGTGATGTATGTACTCAACTAACAGAACTAAACCATCGTTTTGAAGGAGCAGTTTTGAAACACTCTTTTTGCGGAATCTGCAAGTGGATATTTGGCTAGCTGGGAGGATTTCGTTGGAAACGGGATTACATACAAAAAGCAGACAGCAGCATTCTCAGAAACTTCTTTGTGATGTTTGCATTCAAGTCACAGAGTTGAACATTCCCTTTCATAGAGCAGGTTTGAAACACTCTTTTTGTAGTATCTGGATGTGGACATTTGGATCGCTTTCAGGCCTATGGTGAAAAAGGAAATATCTTCCCATGAAAACTAGACAGAAGCATTCTCAGAAACTTATTTGTGATGTGTGTCCTCAACTGACAGTGTTGAACCTTTGTTTTGATAGAGCAGTTCTGAAACACACTTTTTGTAAAATCTGCAAGAGGATATTTGGATAGCTTTGAGGATTTCGTTGGAAACGGGAATGTCTTCATGTAAACTCTAGACAGAAGCATTCTCAGAAACTGCTTTGGGATGTTTCAATTGAAGTCCCAGTGTTGAACATTCCCTTTCATAGAGCAGGTTTGAAACACTCTTTTTGTACTATCTGGAAGTGGACATTTGGAGCGCTTTCAGGTCTACGGTGAAAAAGGATATATCTTCCAATAAAAACTAGATAGAAGCAATGTCAGAACTTTTTTCATGATGTATCTACTCAGCAAACAGAGTTGAACCTTTCTTTTGAGAGAGCAGTTTTGAAACACTCTTTTTGTGGAATATGCAAGTGGGTATTAGGCCAGCTTGGAGGATTTCGTTGGAAACGGGAATACGTATAAAAAGCAGACAGCAGCATTGTCAGAAACTACTTTGTGATGTTTGCATTCAAGTCACAGAATTGAACACTCCCTTTCACAGAGCAGGTTTGAAACACTCTTTTTGTAGTGTCTGTAAGTGAACATATGGATTGCTTTCAGGCCTAAGGTGAAAAAGGAAATATCTTCCCATAAAAACTAGACAGAAGCATTCTCAGAAACTTGTTTGTGATGTGTGCCCTCTACTGACAGAGTTGAACCTTTCTTTGCAAAGAGCAGTTTTGAAACACTCTTTTTGTAGAATCTGCAAGAGGATATTTGGATAGCTTTGAGGATTTCTTGGGAAACGGGAATGTCTTCAGATAAACTCTAGACAGAAGCATTCTCAGAAACTTCTTTGGGATGTTTCAATTGAAGTCACAGTGTTGAACATTCCCTTTCACAGAGCAGGTTTGAAACACTCTTTTTGTAGTGTCTATAAGTGAACATTTGGCGTGCTTTCAGGCCTAACGTGAAAAAGGAAATATCTTCCCATAAAAACTAGACAGAAGCATTCTCAGAAACTTGTTCGTGATGTGTGCCCTCTACTGACAGAGTTGAACCTTTCTTTGCAAAGAGCAGCTTTGAAACACACTTTTTGTAGAATCTGCAAGAGGATATTTGGAAAGCTTTGAGGATTTCGTTGGAAACGGGTATGTCTTCAGATAAACTCTAGACAGAAGCATTCTCAGAAAATTCTTTGGGATGTTGCATTCAAGTCACAGAGTAGAACATTCCCATTCATAGAGCAGATTTGAAACACTCTTTTTGTAGTATCTGGAAGTGGACATTTGGAGCGCTTTCAGGCCTATGTTGAAAAAGGAAATATCTTCCCATAAAAACTAGACGGAAGCATTCTCAGAAACTTACTTGTGATGTGTTTGCTCAACTAACAGAATTGAACCATCGTTTTGAAGGAGCAGTTTTGAAACACTGTTTTCGTGTAATCTGCAAGTGGATATTTGGCTAGCTTTGAGGATTTCGTTGGAAATGGGATTACATATAAAACGGAGCCAGCAGCATTCTCAGAAACTTCTTTGTGATGTCTGCATTCAAGTCACAGAGTTGAGCATTCCCTTTCATAGAGCAGGTTGGAAACACTCTTTTAGTAGTATCTGGATGAGGACATTTGGAGCGCTTTCAGGCGTATGGTGAAAAAGGAAATATCTTCCCGTAAAAACTAGACAGAAGCATTCTCAGAAGTTTATTTGAGATGTGTGCCCTCAACTAACAGAGTTGAACCTTTCTTTTGATAGAGCAGTTTTGAAACACTCTTTTTGTAAAATCTGCAAGAGGATATTTGGATAGCTTTGAGGATTTCGTTGCAAACGGGAATGGCTTCATATAAACTCTAGACAGAAGCATTCTCAGAAACTTCGTTGGGATGTTTTGATTGAAGTCCCAGTGTTGAACATTCCCTTTTATAGAGCAGGTTGGAAACACTCTTTCTGCATTCCCTGGAAGTGGACATTTGGAGCGCTTTCAGGACGACGGTGAAAATGGAAATATCTTCCAATAAAATCTAGATAGAAGCAATGTCAGAAACTTTTCTGTGATGGATCTACTCAGCTAACAGAGTTGAACCTTTCTTTTGAGAGAGCAGTTTTGCAACACTCTTTTTGTGGAATATGCAAGTGGATATTAGGGCAGCTTTGAGGATTTCGTTGGAAACGGGAATACATGTAAAAAGCAGACAGCAGCATTCTCAGAAACTTCTTTGTGATGTTTGCATTGAAGTCACAGAGTTGAACATTCCCTTTGAGAGAGCAGGTTTGAAACACGCCTTTTGTCATATCTGGAAGTGTCCATTCGGAGCGCATTCAGGCTTGTGTTGAAAAAGGAAATATCCTCCCATAAAAACTAGACAGAAGCATTCTCAGAAACTTATCTGTGATGTATGTACTCAACTAACAGAACTAAACCATCGTTTTGAAGGAGCAGTTTTGAAACACTCTTTTTGCGGAATCTGCAAGTGGATATTTGGCTAGCTGGGAGGATTTCGTTGGAAACGGGATTACATACAAAAAGCAGACAGCAGCATTCTCAGAAACTTCTTTGTGATGTTTGCATTCAAGTCACAGAGTTGAACATTCCCTTTCATAGAGCAGGTTTGAAACACTCTTTTTGTAGTATCTGGATGTGGACATTTGGATCGCTTTCAGGCCTATGGTGAAAAAGGAAATATCTTCCCATGAAAACTAGACAGAAGCATTCTCAGAAACTTATTTGTGATATGTGCCCTCAACTGACAGTGTTGAACCTTTGTTTTGATAGAGCAGTTCTGAAACACACTTTTTGTAAAATCTGCAAGAGGATATTTGGATAGCTTTGAGGATTTCGTTGGAAACGGGAATGTCTTCATGTAAACTCTACACAGAAGCATTCTCAGAAACTGCTTTGGGATGTTTCAATTGAAGTCCCAGTGTTGAACATTCCCATTCATAGAGCAGGTTTGAAACACTCTTTTTGTACTATCTGGAAGTGGACATTTGGAGCGCTTTCAGGTCTACGGTGAAAAAGGAGATATCTTCCAATAAAAACTAGATAGAAGCAATGTCAGAACTTTTTTCATGATGTATCTACTCAGCTAACAGAGTTGAACCTTTCTTTTGAGAGAGCAGTTTTGAAACACTCTTTTTGTGGAATATGCAAGTGGGTATTAGGCCAGCTTGGAGGATTTCGTTGGAAACGGGAATACGTATAAAAAGCAGACAGCAGCATTGTCAGAAACTACTTTGTGATGTTTGCATTCAAGTCACAGAATTGAACACTCCCTTTCACAGAGCAGGTTTGAAACACTCTTTTTGTAGTGTCTATAAGTGAACATTTGGCGTGCTTTCAGGCCTAAGGTGAAAAAGGAAATATCTTCCCATAAAAACTAGACAGAAGCATTCTCAGAAACTTGTTCGTGATGTGTGCCCTCTACTGACAGAGTTGAACCTTTCTTTGCAAAGAGCAGCTTTGAAACACTCTTTTTGTAGAATCTGCAAGAGGATATTTGGATAGCTTTGAGGATTTCGTTGGAAACGGGTATGTCTTCAGATAAACTCTAGACAGAAGCATTCTCAGAAACTTCTTTGGGATGTTGCATTCAAGTCACAGAGTAGAACATTCCCATTCATAGAGCAGATTTGAAACACTCTTTTTGTAGTATCTGGAAGTGGACATTTGGAGCGCTTTCAGGCCTATGTTGAAAAAGGAAATATCTTCCCATAAAAACTAGACGGAAGCATTCTCAGAAACTTACTTGTGATGTGTTTGCTCAACTAACAGAATTGAACCATCGTTTTGAAGGAGCAGTTTTGAAACACTGTTTTCGTGGAATCTGCAAGTGGATATTTGGCTAGCTTTGAGGATTTCGTTGGAAACGGGATTACATATAAAAAGGAGACAGCAGCATTCTCAGAAACTTCTTTGTGATGTCTGCATTCAAGTCACAGAGTTGAGCATTCCCTTTCATAGAGCAGGTTGGAAACACTCTTTTTGTAGTATCTGGATGAGGACATTTGGAGCGCTTTCAGGCCTATGGTGAAAAAGGAAATATCTTCCCGTAAAAACTAGACAGAAGCATTCTCAGAAATTTATTTGTGATGTGTGCCCTCAACTAACAGAGTTGAACCTTTCTTTTGATAGAGCAGTTTTGAAACACTCTTTTTGTAAAATCTGCAAGAGGATATTTGGATAGCTTGGAGGATTTCATTGCAAACGGGAATGGCTTCATATAAACTCTAGACAGAAGCATTCTCAGAAACTTCGTTGGGATGTTTCGATTGAAGTCCCAGTGTTGAACATTCCCTTTTATAGAGCAGGTTGGAAACACTCTTTCTGCATTCCCTGGAAGTGGACATTTGGAGCGCTTTCAGGACGACGGTGAAAATGGAAATATCTTCCAATAAAATCTAGATAGAAGCAACGTCAGAAACTTTTCTGTGATGGATCTACTCAGCTAACAGAGTTGAACCTTTCTTTTGAGAGAGCAGTTTTGCAACACTCTTTTTGTGGAATATGCAAGTGGATATTAGGGCAGCTTTGAGGATTTCGTTGGAAACGGGAATACATGTAAAAAGCAGACAGCAGCATTCTCAGAAACTTCTTTGTGATGTTTGCATTGAAGTCACAGAGTTGAACATTCCCTTTGAGAGAGCAGGTTTGAAACACGCCTTTTGTCATATCTGGAAGTGTCCATTCGGAGCGCTTTCAGGCTTGTGTTGAAAAAGGAAATATCCTCCCAGAAAAACTAGACAGAAGCATTCTCAGAAACTTATCTGTGATGTATGTACTCAACTAACAGAACTAAACCATCGTTTTGAAGGAGCAGTTTTGAAACACTCTTTTTGCGGAATCTGCAAGTGGATATTTGGCTAGCTGGGAGGATTTCGTTGGAAACGGGATTACATACAAAAAGCAGACAGCAGCATTCTCAGAAACTTCTTTGTGATGTTTGCATTCAAGTCACAGAGTTGAACATTCCCTTTCATAGAGCAGGTTTGAAACACTCTTTTTGTAGTATCTGGATGTGGACATTTGGATCGCTTTCAGGCCTATGGTGAAAAAGGAAATATCTTCCCATGAAAACTAGACAGAAGCATTCTCAGAAACTTATTTGTGATGTGTGCCCTCAACTGACAGTGTTGAACCTTTGTTTTGATAGAGCAGTTCTGAAACACACTTTTTGTAAAATCTGCAAGAGGATATTTGGATAGCTTTGAGGATTTCGTTGGAAACGGGAATGTCTTCATGTAAACTCTAGACAGAAGCATTCTCAGAAACTGCTTTGGGATGTTTCAATTGAAGTCCCAGTGTTGAACATTCCCTTTCATAGAGCAGGTTTGAAACACTCTTTTTGTAGTATCTGGAAGTGGACATTTGGAGCGCTTTCAGGTCTACGGTGAAAAAGGAGATATCTTCCAATAAAAACTAGATAGAAGCAATGTCAGAACTTTTTTCATGATGTATCTACTCAGCAAACAGAGTTGAACCTTTCTTTTGAGAGAGCAGTTTTGAAACACTCTTTTTGTGGAATATGCAAGTGGGTATTAGGCCAGCTTGGAGGATTTCGTTGGAAACGGGAATACGTATAAAAAGCAGACAGCAGCATTGTCAGAAACTACTTTGTGATGTTTGCATTCAAGTCACAGAATTGAACACTCCCTTTCACAGAGCAGGTTTGAAACACTCTTTTTGTAGTGTCTGTAAGTGAACATTTGGATTGCTTTCAGGCCTAAGGTGAAAAAGGAAATATCTTCCCATAAAAACTAGACGGAAGCATTCTCAGAAACTTGTTTGTGATGTGTGCCCTCTACTGACAGAGTTGAACCTTTCTTTGCAAAGAGCAGTTTTGAAACACTCTTTTTGTAGAATCTGCAAGAGGATATTTGGATAGCTTTGAGGATTTCTTGGGAAACGGGAATGTCTTCAGATAAACTCTAGACAGAAGCATTCTCAGAAACTTCTTTGGGATGTTTCAATTGAAGTCACAGTGTTGAACATTCCCTTTCACAGAGCAGGTTTGAAACACTCTTTTTGTAGTGTCTATAAGTGAACATTTGGCGTGCTTTCAGGCCTAACGTGAAAAAGGAAATATCTTCCCATAAAAACTAGACAGAAGCATTCTCAGAAACTTGTTCTTGATGTGTCCCCTCTACTGACAGAGTTGAACCTTTCTTTGCAAAGAGCAGCTTTGAAACACTCTTTTTGTAGAATCTGCAAGAGGATATTTGGATAGCTTGGAGGATTTCGTTGGAAACGGGTATGTCTTCAGATAAACTCTAGACAGAAGCATTCTCAGAAACTTCTTTGGGATGTTGCATTCAAGTCACAGAGTAGAACATTCCCATTCATAGAGCAGATTTGAAACACTCTTTTTGTAGTATCTGGAAGTGGACATTTGGAGCGCTTTCAGGCCTATGTTGAAAAAGGAAATATCTTCCCATAAAAACTAGACGGAAGCATTCTCAGAAACTTATTTGTGATGTGTTTGCTCAACTAACAGGATTGAACCATCGTTTTGAAGGAGCAGTTTTGAAACACTGTTTTCGTGGAATCTGCAAGTGGATATTTGGCTAGCTTTGAGGATTTCGTTGGAAACGGGATTACATATACAAAGGAGACAGCAGCATTCTCAGAAACTTCTTTGTGATGTCTGCATTCAATTCACAGAGTTGAGCATTCCCTTTCATAGAGCAGGTTGGAAACACTCTTTTTGTAGTATCTGGATGAGGACATTTGGAGCGCTTTCAGGCGTATGGTGAAAAAGGAAATATCTTCCCGTAAAAACTAGACAGAAGCATTCTCAGAAGTTTATTTGTGATGTGTGCCCTCAACTAACAGAGTTGAACCTTTCTTTTGATAGAGCAGTTTTGAAACACTCTTTTTGTAAAATCTGCAAGAGGATATTTGGATAGCTTTGAGGATTTCGTTGCAAACGGGAATCGCTTCATATAAACTCTAGACAGAAGCATTCTCAGAAACTTCGTTGGGATGTTTCGATTGAAGTCCCAGTGTTGAACATTCCCTTTTATAGAGCAGGTTGGAAACACTCTTTCTGCATTCCCTGGAAGTGGACATTTGGAGCGCTTTCTGGACGACGGTGAAAATGGAAATATCTTCCAAGAAAATCTAGATAGAAGCAATGTCAGAAACTTTTATGTGATGGATCTACTCAGCTAACAGAGTTGAACCTTTCTTTTGAGAGAGCAGTTTTGCAACACTCCTTTTGTGGAATATGCAAGTGGATATTAGGGCAGCTTTGAGGATTTCGTTGGAAACGGGAATACATGTAAAAAGCAGACAGCCAGCATTCTCAGAAACTTCTTTGTGATGTTTGCATTGAAGTCACAGAGTTGAACATTCCCTTTGAGAGAGCAGGTTTGAAACACGCCTTTTGTCATATCTGGAAGTGTCCATTCGGAGCGCATTCAGGCTTGTGTTGAAAAAGGAAATATCCTCCCATAAAAACTAGACAGAAGCATTCTCCGAAACTTATCTGTGATGTATGTACTCAACTAACAGAACTAAACCATCGTTTTGAAGGAGCAGTTTTGAAACACTCTTTTTGCGGAATCTGCAAGTGGATATTTGGCTAGCTGGGAGGATTTCGTTGGAAACGGGATTACATACAAAAAGCAGACAGCAGCATTCTCAGAAACTTCTTTGTGATGTTTGCATTCAAGTCACAGAGTTGAACATTCCCTTTCATAGAGCAGGTTTGAAACACTCTTTTTGTAGTATCTGGATGTGGACATTTGGATCGCTTTCAGGCCTATGGTGAAAAAGGAAATATCTTCCCATGAAAACTAGACAGAAGCATTCTCAGAAACTT
Source organism: Homo sapiens (assembly GCF_000001405.40). Taxonomy (NCBI): domain Eukaryota; kingdom Metazoa; phylum Chordata; class Mammalia; order Primates; family Hominidae; genus Homo; species Homo sapiens. The sequence goes on from NC_000020.11 coordinate 27,516,536, forward strand.
ATTTGTGATGTGTGCCCTCAACTGACAGTGTTGAACCTTTGTTTTGATAGAGCAGTTCTGAAACACACTTTTTGTAAAATCTGCAAGAGGATATTTGGATAGCTTTGAGGATTTCGTTGGAAACGGGAATGTCTTCATGTAAACTCTACACAGAAGCATTCTCAGAAACTGCTTTGGGATGTTTCAATTGAAGTCCCAGTGTTGAACATTCCCATTCATAGAGCAGGTTTGAAACACTCTTTTTGTACTATCTGGAAGTGGACATTTGGAGCGCTTTCAGGTCTACGGTGAAAAAGGAGATATCTTCCAATAAAAACTAGATAGAAGCAATGTGAGAACTTTTTTCATGATGTATCTACTCAGCTAACAGAGTTGAACCTTTCTTTTGAGAGAGCAGTTTTGAAACACTATTTTTGTGGAATATGCAAGTGGGTATTAGGCCAGCTTGGAGGATTTCGTTGGAAACGGGAATACGTATAAAAAGCAGACAGCAGCATTGTCAGCAAACTACTTTGTGATGTTTGCATTCAAGTCACAGAATTGAACACTCCCTTTCACAGAGCAGGTTTGAAACACTCTTTTTGTAGTGTCTGTAAGTGAACATTTGGATTGCTTTCACGCCTAAGGTGAAAAAGGAAATATCTTCCCATAAAAACTAGACAGAAGCATTCTCAGAAACTTGTTTGTGATGTGTGCCCTCTACTGACAGAGTTGAAACTTTCTTTGCAAAGAGCAGTTTTGAAACACTCTTTTTGTAGAATCTGCAAGAGGATATTTGGATAGCTTTGAGGATTTCTTGGGAAACGGGAATGTCTTCAGATAAACTCTAGACAGAAGCATTCTCAGAAACTTCTTTGGGATGTTTCAATTGAAGTCAGTGTTGAACATTCCCTTTCACAGAGCAGGTTTGAAACACTCTTTTTGTAGTGTCTATAAGTGAACATTTGGCGTGCTTTCAGGCCTAACGTGAAAAAGGAAATATCTTCCCATAAAAACTAGACAGAAGCATTCTCAGAAACTTGTTCTTGATGTGTCCCCTCTACTGACAGAGTTGAACCTTTCTTTGCAAAGAGCAGCTTTGAAACACTCTTTTTGTAGAATCTGCAAGAGGATATTTGGATAGCTTGGAGGATTTCGTTGGAAACGGGTATGTCTTCAGATAAACTCTAGACAGAAGCATTCTCAGAAACTTCTTTGGGATGTTGCATTCAAGTCACAGAGTAGAACATTCCCATTCATAGAGCAGATTTGAAACACTCTTTTTGTAGTATCTGGAAGTGGACATTTGGAGCGCTTTCAGGCCTATGTTGAAAAAGGAAATATCTTCCCATAAAAACTAGACGGAAGCATTCTCAGAAACTTATTTGTGATGTGTTTGCTCAACTAACAGGATTGAACCATCGTTTTGAAGGAGCAGTTTTGAAACACTGTTTTCGTGGAATCTGCAAGTGGATATTTGGCTAGCTTTGAGGATTTCGTTGGAAACGGGATTACATATACAAAGGAGACAGCAGCATTCTCAGAAACTTCTTTGTGATGTCTGCATTCAATTCACAGAGTTGAGCATTCCCTTTCATAGAGCAGGTTGGAAACACTCTTTTTGTAGTATCTGGATGAGGACATTTGGAGCGCTTTCAGGCGTATGGTGAAAAAGGAAATATCTTCCCGTAAAAACTAGACAGAAGCATTCTCAGAAGTTTATTTGTGATGTGTGCCCTCAACTAACAGAGTTGAACCTTTCTTTTGATAGAGCAGTTTTGAAACACTCTTTTTGTAAAATCTGCAAGAGGATATTTGGATAGCTTTGAGGATTTCGTTGCAAACGGGAATGGCTTCATATAAACTCTAGACAGAAGCATTCTCAGAAACTTCGTTGGGATGTTTCGATTGAAGTCCCAGTGTTGAACATTCCCTTTTATAGAGCAGGTTGGAAACACTCTTTCTGCATTCCCTGGAAGTGGACATTTGGAGCGCTTTCAGGACGACGGTGAAAATGGAAATATCTTCCAAGAAAATCTAGATAGATTTTTTCTTTATTTTTTTGAGACAGAGTCTCACTGTGTCACCATTGCTGGAGTGCAGTGTTGCAAAACTGCTCTCTCAAAAGAAAGGTTCAACTCTGTTAGCTGAGTAGATCCGTCACATAAAAGTTTCTGACATTGCTTC
>NC_000020.11:28180974-28256267 GCF_000001405.40 Homo sapiens
AGCATTCTCAGAAACTTCGTTGGGATGTTTCGATTGAAGTCCCAGTGTTGAACATTCCCTTTTATAGAGCAGGTTGGAAACACTCTTTCTGCATTCCCTGGAAGTGGACATTTGGAGCGCTTTCAGGACGACGGTGAAAATGGAAATATCTTCCAAGAAAATCTAGATAGAAGCAATGTCAGAAACTTTTATGTGATGGATCTACTCAGCTAACAGAGTTGAACCTTTCTTTTGAGAGAGCAGTTTTGCAACACTCTTTTTGTGGAATATGCAAGTGGATATTAGGGCAGCTTTGAGGATTTCGTTGGAAACGGGAATACATGTAAAAAGCAGACAGCAGCATTCTCAGAAACTTCTTTGTGATGTTTGCATTGAAGTCACAGAGTTGAACATTCCCTTTGAGAGAGCAGGTTTGAAACACGCCTTTTGTCATATCTGGAAGTGTCCATTCGGAGCGCATTCAGGCTTGTGTTGAAAAAGGAAATATCCTCCCATAAAAACTAGACAGAAGCATTCTCAGAAACTTATCTGTGATGTATGTACTCAACTAACAGAACTAAACCATCGTTTTGAAGGAGCAGTTTTGAAACACTCTTTTTGCGGAATCTGCAAGTGGATATTTGGCTAGCTGGGAGGATTTCGTTGGAAACGGGATTACATACAAAAAGCAGACAGCAGCATTCTCAGAAACTTATTTGTGATGTGTGCCCTCAACTGACAGTGTTGAACCTTTGTTTTGATAGAGCAGTTCTGAAACACACTTTTTGTAAAATCTGCAAGAGGATATTTGGATAGCTTTGAGGATTTCGTTGGAAACGGGAATGTCTTCATGTAAACTCTGGACAGAAGCATTCTCAGAAACTGCTTTGGGATGTTTCAATTGAAGTCCCAGTGTTGAACATTCCCTTTCATAGAGCAGGTTTGAAACACTCTTTTTGTACTATCTGGAAGTGGACATTTGGAGCGCTTTCAGGTCTACGGTGAAAAAGGAGATATCTTCCAATAAAAACTAGATAGAAGCAATGTCAGAACTTTTTTCATGATGTATCTACTCAGCAAACAGAGTTGAACCTTTCTTTTGAGAGAGCAGTTTTGAAACACTCCTTTTGTGGAATATGCAAGTGGGTATTAGGCCAGCTTGGAGGATTTCGTTGGAAACGGGAATACGTATAAAAAGCAGACAGCAGCATTGTCAGAAACTACTTTGTGATGTTTGCATTCAAGTCACAGAATTGAACACTCCCTTTCACAGAGCAGGTTTGAAACTCTCTTTTTGTAGTGTCTGTAAGTGAACATTTGGATTGCTTTCAGGCCTAAGGTGAAAAAGGAAATATCTTCCCATAAAAACTAGACAGAAGCATTCTCAGAAACTTGTTTGTGATGTGTGCCCTCTACTGACAGAGTTGAACCTTTCTTTGCAAAGAGCAGTTTTGAAACACTCTTTTTGTAGAATCTGCAAGAGGATATTTGGATAGCTTTGAGGATTTCTTGGGAAACGGGAATGTCTTCAGATAAACTCTAGACAGAAGCATTCTCAGAAACTTCTTTGGGATGTTTCAATTGAAGTCACAGTGTTGAACATTCCCTTTCACAGAGCAGGTTTGAAACACTCTTTTTGTAGTGTCTATAAGTGAACATTTGGCGTGCTTTCAGGCGTAACGTGAAAAAGGAAATATCTTCCCATAAAAACTAGACAGAAGCATTCTCAGAAACTTGTTCGTGATGTGTGCCCTCTACTGACAGAGTTGAACCTTTCTTTGCAAAGAGCAGCTTTGAAACACACTTTTTGTAGAATCTGCAAGAGGATATTTGGATAGCTTTGAGGATTTCGTTGGAAACGGGTATGTCTTCAGATAAACTCTAGACAGAAGCATTCTCAGAAACTTCTTTGGGATTTGCATGCAAGTCACAGAGTAGAACATTCCCATTCATAGAGCAGATTTGAAACACTCTTTTTGTAGTATCTGGAAGTGGACATTTGGAGCGCTTTCAGGCCTATGTTGAAAAAGGAAATATCTTCCCATAAAAACTAGACGGAAGCATTCTCAGAAACTTAATTGTGATGTGTTTGCTCAACTAACAGGATTGAACCATCGTTTTGAAGGAGCAGTTTTGAAACACTGTTTTCGTGGAATCTGCAAGTGGATATTTGGCTAGCTTTGAGGATTTCGTTGGAAACGGGATTACATATACAAAGGAGACAGCGCATTCTCAGAAACTTCTTTGTGATGTTTGCATTCAAGTCACAGAGTTGAACATTCCCTTTCATAGAGCAGGTTTGAAACACTCTTTTTGTAGTATCTGGATGTGGACATTTGGATCGCTTTCAGGCCTATGGTGAAAAAGGAAATATCTTCCCATGAAAACTAGACAGAAGCATTCTCAGAAACTTATTTGTGATGTGTGCCCTCAACTGACAGTGTTGAACCTTTGTTTTGATAGAGCAGTTCTGAAACACACTTTTTGTAAAATCTGCAAGAGGATATTTGGATAGCTTTGAGGATTTCGTTGGAAACGGGAATGTCTTCATGTAAACTCTAGACAGAAGCATTCTCAGAAACTGCTTTGGGATGTTTCAATTGAAGTCCCAGTGTTGAACATTCCCTTTCATAGAGCAGGTTTGAAACACTCTTTTTGTACTATCTGGAAGTGGACATTTGGAGCGCTTTCAGGTCTACGGTGAAAAAGGAGATATCTTCCAATAAAAACTAGATAGAAGCAATGTCAGAACTTTTTTCATGATGTATCTACTCAGCAAACAGAGTTGAACCTTTCTTTTGAGAGAGCAGTTTTGAAACACTCTTTTTGTGGAATATGCAAGTGGGTATTAGGCCAGCTTGGAGGATTTCGTTGGAAACGGGAATACGTATAAAAAGCAGACAGCAGCATTGTCAGAAACTACTTTGTGATGTTTGCATTCAAGTCACAGAATTGAACACTCCCTTTCACAGAGCAGGTTTGAAACACTCTTTTTGTAGTGTCTGTAAGTGAACATATGGATTGCTTTCAGGCCTAAGGTGAAAAAGGAAATATCTTCCCATAAAAACTAGACAGAAGCATTCTCAGAAACTTGTTTGTGATGTGTGCCCTCTACTGACAGAGTTGAACCTTTCTTTGCAAAGAGCAGTTTTGAAACACTCTTTTTGTAGAATCTGCAAGAGGATATTTGGATAGCTTTGAGGATTTCTTGGGAAACGGGAATGTCTTCAGATAAACTCTAGACAGAAGCATTCTCAGAAACTTCTTTGGGATGTTTCAATTGAAGTCACAGTGTTGAACATTCCCTTTCACAGAGCAGGTTTGAAACACTCTTTTTGTAGTGTCTATAAGTGAACATTTGGCGTGCTTTCAGGCCTAACGTGAAAAAGGAAATATCTTCCCATAAAAACTAGACAGAAGCATTCTCAGAAACTTGTTCTTGATGTGTCCCCTCTACTGACAGAGTTGAACCTTTCTTTGCAAAGAGCAGCTTTGAAACACTCTTTTTGTAGAATCTGCAAGAGGATATTTGGATAGCTTGGAGGATTTCGTTGGAAACGGGTATGTCTTCAGATAAACTCTAGACAGAAGCATTCTCAGAAACTTCTTTGGGATGTTGCATTCAAGTCACAGAGTAGAACATTCCCATTCATAGAGCAGATTTGAAACACTCTTTTTGTAGTATCTGGAAGTGGACATTTGGAGCGCTTTCAGGCCTATGTTGAAAAAGGAAATATCTTCCCATAAAAACTAGACGGAAGCATTCTCAGAAACTTAATTGTGATGTGTTTGCTCAACTAACAGGATTGAACCATCGTTTTGAAGGAGCAGTTTTGAAACACTGTTTTCGTGGAATCTGCAAGTGGATATTTGGCTAGCTTTGAGGATTTCGTTGGAAACGGGATTACATATAAAAAGGAGACAGCAGCATTCTCAGAAACTTCTTTGTGATGTCTGCATTCAATTCACAGAGTTGAGCATTCCCTTTCATAGAGCAGGTTGGAAACACTCTTTTTGTAGTATCTGGATGAGGACATTTGGAGCGCTTTCAGGCGTATGGTGAAAAAGGAAATATCTTCCCGTAAAAACTAGACAGAAGCATTCTCAGAAATTTATTTGTGATGTGTGCCCTCAACTAACAGAGTTGAACCTTTCTTTTGATAGAGCAGTTTTGAAACACTCTTTTTGTAAAATCTGCAAGAGGATATTTGGATAGCTTTGAGGATTTCATTGCAAACGGGAATGGCTTCATATAAACTCTAGACAGAAGCATTCTCAGAAACTTCGTTGGGATGTTTCGATTGAAGTCCCAGTGTTGAACATTCCCTTTTATAGAGCAGGTTGGAAACACTCTTTCTGCATTCCCTGGAAGTGGACATTTGGAGCGCTTTCAGGACGACGGTGAAAATGGAAATATCTTCCAAGAAAATCTAGATAGAAGCAATGTCAGAAACTTTTATGTGATGGATCTACTCAGCTAACAGAGTTGAACCTTTCTTTTGAGAGAGCAGTTTTGCAACACTCTTTTTGTGGAATATGCAAGTGGATATTAGGGCAGCTTTGAGGATTTCGTTGGAAACGGGAATACATGTAAAAAGCAGACAGCAGCATTCTCAGAAACTTCTTTGTGATGTTTGCATTGAAGTCACAGAGTTGAACATTCCCTTTGAGAGAGCAGGTTTGAAACACGCCTTTTGTCATATCTGGAAGTGTCCATTCGGAGCGCATTCAGGCTTGTGTTGAAAAAGGAAATATCCTCCCATAAAAACTAGACAGAAGCATTCTCAGAAACTTATCTGTGATGTATGTACTCAACTAACAGAACTAAACCATCGTTTTGAAGGAGCAGTTTTGAAACACTCTTTTTGCGGAATCTGCAAGTGGATATTTGGCTAGCTGGGAGGATTTCGTTGGAAACGGGATTACATACAAAAAGCAGACAGCAGCATTCTCAGAAACTTATTTGTGATGTGTGCCCTCAACTGACAGTGTTGAACCTTTGTTTTGATAGAGCAGTTCTGAAACACACTTTTTGTAAAATCTGCAAGAGGATATTTGGATAGCTTTGAGGATTTCGTTGGAAACGGGAATGTCTTCATGTAAACTCTGGACAGAAGCATTCTCAGAAACTGCTTTGGGATGTTTCAATTGAAGTCCCAGTGTTGAACATTCCCTTTCATAGAGCAGGTTTGAAACCCTCTTTTTGTACTATCTGGAAGTGGACATTTGGAGCGCTTTCAGGTCTACGGTGAAAAAGGAGATATCTTCCAATAAAAACTAGATAGAAGCAATGTCAGAACTTTTTTCATGATGTATCTACTCAGCAAACAGAGTTGAACCTTTCTTTTGAGGGAGCAGTTTTGAAACACTATTTTTGTGGAATATGCAAGTGGGTATTAGGCCAGCTTGGAGGATTTCGTTGGAAACGGGAATACGTATAAAAAGCAGACAGCAGCATTGTCAGAAACTACTTTGTGATGTTTGCATTCAAGTCACAGAATTGAACACTCCCTTTCACAGAGCAGGTTTGAAACACTCTTTTTGTAGTGTCTGTAAGTGAACATATGGATTGCTTTCAGGCCTAAGGTGAAAAAGGAAATATCTTCCCATAAAAACTAGACAGAAGCATTCTCAGAAACTTGTTTGTGATGTGTGCCCTCTACTGACAGAGTTGAACCTTTCTTTGCAAAGAGCAGTTTTGAAACACTCTTTTTGTAGAATCTGCAAGAGGATATTTGGATAGCTTTGAAGATTTCTTGGGAAACGGGAATGTCTTCAGATAAACTCTAGACAGAAGCATTCTCAGAAACTTCTTTGGGATGTTTCAATTGAAGTCACAGTGTTGAACATTCCCTTTCACAGAGCAGGTTTGAAACACTCTTTTTGTAGTGTCCATAAGTGAACATTTGGCGTGCTTTCAGGCCTAACGTGAAAAAGGAAATATCTTCCCATAAAAACTAGACAGAAGCATTCTCAGAAACTTGTTCATGATGTGTGCCCTCTACTGACAGAGTTGAACCTTTCTTTGCAAAGAGCAGCTTTGAAACACTCTTTTTGTAGAATCTGCAAGAGGATATTTGGATAGCTTTGAGGATTTCGTTGGAAACGGGTATGTCTTCAGATAAACTCTAGACAGAAGCATTCTCAGAAACTTCTTTGGGATGTTGCATTCAAGTCACAGAGTAGAACATTCCCATTCATAGAGCAGATTTGAAACACTCTTTTTGTAGTATCTGGAAGTGGACATTTGGAGCGCTTTCAGGCCTATGTTGAAAAAGGAAATATCTTCCCATAAAAACTAGACGGAAGCATTCTCAGAAACTTATTTGTGATGTGTTTGCTCAACTAACAGGATTGAACCATCGTTTTGAAGGAGCAGTTTTGAAACACTGTTTTCGTGGAATCTGCAAGTGGATATTTGGCTAGCTTTGAGGATTTCGTTGGAAACGGGATTACATATAAAAAGGAGACAGCAGCATTCTCAGAAACTTCTTTGTGATGTCTGCATTCAAATCACAGAGTTGAGCATTCCCTTTCATAGAGCAGGTTGGAAACACTCTTTTTGTAGTATCTGGATGAGGACATTTGGAGCGCTTTCAGGCCTATGGTGAAAAAGGAAATATCTTCCCGTAAAAACTAGACAGAAGCATTCTCAGAAATTTATTTGTGATGTGTGCCCTCAACTAACAGAGTTGAACCTTTCTTTTGATAGAGCAGTTTTGAAACACTCTTTTTGTAAAATCTGCAAGAGGATATTTGGATAGCTTTGAGGATTTCGTTGCAAACGGGAATGGCTTCATATAAACTCTAGACAGAAGCATTCTCAGAAACTTCGTTGGGATGTTTCGATTGAAGTCCCAGTGTTGAACATTCCCTTTCATAGAGCAGGTTGGAAACACTCTTTCTGCATTCCCTGGAAGTGGACATTTGGAGCGCTTTCAGGACGACGGTGAAAATGGAAATATCTTCCAAGAAAATCTAGATAGAAGCAACGTCAGAAACTTTTCTGTGATGGATCTACTCAGCTAACAGAGTTGAACCTTTCTTTTGAGAGAGCAGTTTTGCAACACTCTTTTTGTGGAATATGCAAGTGGATATTAGGGCAGCTTTGAGGATTTCGTTGGAAACGGGAATACATGTAAAAAGCAGACAGCAGCATTCTCAGAAACTTCTTTTTGATGTTTGCATTGAAGTCACAGAGTTGAACATTCCCTTTGAGAGAGCAGGTTTGAAACACGCCTTTTGTCATATCTGGAAGTGTCCATTCGGAGCGCATTCAGGCTTGTGTTGAAAAAGGAAATATCCTCCCATAAAAACTAGACAGAAGCATTCTCAGAAACTTATCTGTGATGTATGTACTCAACTAACAGAACTAAACCATCGTTTTGAAGGAGCAGTTTTGAAACACTCTTTTTGCGGAATCTGCAAGTGGATATTTGGCTAGCTGGGAGGATTTCGTTGGAAACGGGATTACATACAAAAAGCAGAGAGCAGCATTCTCAGAAACTTATTTGTGATGTGTGCCCTCAACTGACAGTGTTGAACCTTTGTTTTGATAGAGCAGTTCTGAAACACACTTTTTGTAAAATCTGCAAGAGGATATTTGGATAGCTTTGAGGATTTCGTTGGAAACGGGAATGTCTTCATGTAAACTCTACACAGAAGCATTCTCAGAAACTGCTTTGGGATGTTTCAATTGAAGTCCCAGTGTTGAACATTCCCATTCATAGAGCAGGTTTGAAACACTCTTTTTGTACTATCTGGAAGTGGACATTTGGAGCGCTTTCAGGTCTACGGTGAAAAAGGAGATATCTTCCAATAAAAACTAGATAGAAGCAATGTCAGAACTTTTTTCATGATGTATCTACTCAGCAAACAGAGTTGAACCTTTCTTTTGAGAGAGCAGTTTTGAAACACTCTTTTTGTGGAATATGAAAGTGGGTATTAGGCCAGCTTGGAGGATTTCGTTGGAAACGGGAATACGTATAAAAAGCAGACAGCAGCATTGTCAGAAACTACTTTGTGATGTTTGCATTCAAGTCACAGAATTGAACACTCCCTTTCACAGAGCAGGTTTGAAACACTCTTTTTGTAGTGTCTGTAAGTGAACATATGGATTGCTTTCAGGCCTAAGGTGAAAAAGGAAATATCTTCCCATAAAAACTAGACAGAAGCATTCTCAGAAACTTGTTTGTGATGTGTGCCCTCTACTGACAGAGTTGAACCTTTCTTTGCAAAGAGCAGTTTTGAAACACTCTTTTTGTAGAATCTGCAAGAGGATATTTGGATAGCTTTGAGGATTTCTTGGGAAACGGGAATGTCTTCAGATAAACTCTAGACAGAAGCATTCTCAGAAACTTCTTTGGGATGTTTCAATTGAAGTCACAGTGTTGAACATTCCCTTTCACAGAGCAGGTTTGAAACACTCTTTTTGTAGTGTCTATAAGTGAACATTTGGCATGCTTTCAGGCCTAACGTGAAAAAGGAAATATCTTCCCATAAAAACTAGACAGAAGCATTCTCAGAAACTTGTTCGTGATGTGTGCCCTCTACTGACAGAGTTGAACCTTTCTTTGCAAAGAGCAGCTTTGAAACACTCTTTTTGTAGAATCTGCCAGAGGATATTTGGATAGCTTGGAGGATTTCGTTGGAAACGGGTATGTCTTCAGATAAACTCTAGACAGAAGCATTCTCAGAAACTTCTTTGGGATGTTGCATTCAAGTCACAGAGTAGAACATTCCCATTCATAGAGCAGATTTGAAACACTCTTTTTGTAGTATCTGGAAGTGGACATTTGGAGCGCTTTCAGGCCTATGTTGAAAAAGGAAATATCTTCCCATAAAAACTAGACGGAAGCATTCTCAGAAACTTACTTGTGATGTGTTTGCTCAACTAACAGAATTGAACCATCGTTTTGAAGGAGCAGTTTTGAAACACTGTTTTCGTGGAATCTGCAAGTGGATATTTGGCTAGCTTTGAGGATTTCGTTGGAAACGGGATTACATATAAAAAGGAGACAGCAGCATTCTCAGAAACTTCTTTGTGATGTCTGCATTCAATTCACAGAGTTCAGCATTCCCTTTCATAGAGCAGGTTGGAAACACTCTTTTTGTAGTATCTGGATGAGGACATTTGGAGCGCTTTCAGGCCTATGGTGAAAAAGGAAATATCTTCCCGTAAAAACTAGACAGAAGCATTCTCAGAAATTTATTTGTGATGTGTGCCCTCAACTAACAGAGTTGAACCTTTCTTTTGATAGAGCAGTTTTGAAACACTCTTTTTGTAAAATCTGCAAGAGGATATTTGGATAGCTTTGAGGATTTCATTGCAAACGGGAATGGCTTCATATAAACTCTAGACAGAAGCATTCTCAGAAACTTCGTTGGGATGTTTCGATTGAAGTCCCAGTGTTGAACATTCCCTTTTATAGAGCAGGTTGGAAACACTCTTTCTGCATTCCCTGGAAGTGGACATTTGGAGCGCTTTCAGGACGACGGTGAAAATGGAAATATCTTCCAAGAAAATCTAGTTAGAAGCAACGTCAGAAACTTTTCTGTGATGGATCTACTCAGCTAACAGAGTTGAACCTTTCTTTTGAGAGAGCAGTTTTGCAACACTCTTTTTGTGGAATATGCAAGTGGATATTAGGGCAGCTTTGAGGATTTCGTTGGAAACGGGAATACATGTAAAAAGCAGACAGCAGCATTCTCAGAAACTTCTTTGTGATGTTTGCATTGAAGTCACAGAGTTGAACATTCCCTTTGAGAGAGCAGGTTTGAAACACGCCTTTTGTCATATCTGGAAGTGTCCATTCGGAGCGCATTCAGGCTTGTGTTGAAAAAGGAAATATCCTCCCATAAAAACTAGACAGAAGCATTCTCAGAAACTTCTTTGTGATGTTTGCATTCAAGTCACAGAGTTGAACATTCCCTTTCATAGAGCAGGTTTGAAACACTCTTTTTGTAGTATCTGGATGTGGACATTTGGATTGCTTTCAGGCCTATGGTGAAAAAGGAAATTTCTTCCCATGAAAACTAGACAGAAGAATTCTCAGAAACTTATTTGTGATGTGTGCCCTCAACTGACAGTGTTGAACCTTTGTTTTGATAGAGCAGTTCTGAAACACACTTTTTGTAAAATCTGCAAGAGGATATTTGGATAGCTTTGAGGATTTCGTTGGAAACGGGAATGTCTTCATGTAAACTCTAGACAGAAGCATTCTCAGAAACTGCTTTGGGATGTTTCAATTGAAGTCCCAGTGTTGAACATTCCCTTTCATAGAGCAGGTTTGAAACACTCTTTTTGTACTATCTGGAAGTGGACATTTGGAGCGCTTTCAGGTCTACGGTGAAAAAGGAGATATCTTCCAATAAAAACTAGATAGAAGCAATGTCAGAACTTTTTTCATGATGTATCTACTCAGCAAACAGAGTTGAACCTTTCTTTTGAGAGAGCAGTTTTGAAACACTCTTTTTGTGGAATATGCAAGTGGGTATTAGGCCAGCTTGGAGGATTTCGTTGGAAACGGGAATACGTATAAAAAGCAGACAGCAGCATTGTCAGAAACTACTTTGTGATGCTTGCATTCAAGTCACAGAATTGAACACTCCCTTTCACAGAGCAGGTTTGAAACACTCTTTTTGTAGTGTCTGTAAGTGAACATTTGGATTGCTTTCAGGCCTAAGGTGAAAAAGGAAATATCTTCCCATAAAAACTAGACAGAAGCACTCTCAGAAACTTGTTTGTGATGTGTGCCCTCTACTGACAGAGTTGAACCTTTCTTTGCAAAGAGCAGTTTTGAAACACTCCTTTTGTAGAATCTGCAAGAGGATATTTGGATAGCTTTGAGGATTTCTTGGGAAACGGGAATGTCTTCAGATAAACTCTAGACAGAAGCATTCTCAGAAACTTCTTTGGGATGTTTCAATTGAAGTCACAGTGTTGAACATTCCCTTTCACAGAGCAGGTTTGAAACACTCTTTTTGTAGTGTCTATAAGTGAACATTTGGCGTGCTTTCAGGCGTAACGTGAAAAAGGAAATATCTTCCCATAAAAACTAGACAGAAGCATTCTCAGAAACTTGTTCGTGATGTGTGCCCTCTACTGACAGAGTTGAACCTTTCTTTGCAAAGAGCAGCTTTGAAACACTCTTTTTGTAGAATCTGCAAGAGGATATTTGGATAGCTTGGAGGATTTCGTTGGAAACGGGTATGTCTTCAGATAAACTCTAGACAGAAGCATTCTCAGAAACTTCTTTGGGATGTTGCATTCAAGTCACAGAGTAGAACATTCCCATTCATAGAGCAGATTTGAAACACTCTTTTTGTAGTATCTGGAAGTGGACATTTGGAGCGCTTTCAGGCCTATGTTGAAAGAGGAAATATCTTCCCATAAAAACTAGACGGAAGCATTCTCAGAAACTTACTTGTGATGTGTTTGCTCAACTAACAGAATTGAACCATCGTTTTGAAGGAGCAGTTTTGAAACACTGTTTTCGTGGAATCTGCAAGTGGATATTTGGCTAGCTTTGAGGATTTCGTTGGAAACGGGATTACATATAAAAAGGAGACAGCAGCATTCTCAGAAACTTCTTTGTGATGTCTGCATTCAAGTCACAGAGTTGAGCATTCCCTTTCATAGAGCAGGTTGGAAACACTCTTTTTGTAGTATCTGGATGAGGACATTTGGAGCGCTTTCAGGCCTATGGTGAAAAAGGAAATATCTTCCCGTAAAAACTAGACAGAAGCATTCTCAGAAATTTATTTGTGATGTGTGCCCTCAACTAACAGAGTTGAACCTTTCTTTTGATAGAGCAGTTTTGAAACACTCTTTTTGTAAAATCTGCAAGAGGATATTTGGATAGCTTTGAGGATTTCCTTGCAAACGGGAATGGCTTCATATAAACTCTAGACAGAAGCATTCTCAGAAACTTCGTTGGGATGTTTCGATTGAAGTCCCAGTGTTGAACATTCCCTTTTATAGAGCAGGTTGGAAACACTCTTTCTGCATTCCCTGGAAGTGGACATTTGGAGCGCTTTCAGGACGACGGTGAAAATGGAAATATCTTCCAAGAAAATCTAGATAGAAGCAATGTCAGAAACTTTTATGTGATGGATCTACTCAGCTAACAGAGTTGAACCTTTCTTTTGAGAGAGCAGTTTTGCAACACTCTTTTTGTGGAATATGCAAGTGGATATTAGGGCAGCTTTGAGGATTTCGTTGGAAACGGGAATACATGTAAAAAGCAGACAGCAGCATTCTCAGAAACTTCTTTGTGATGTTTGCATTGAAGTCACAGAGTTGAACATTCCCTTTGAGAGAGCAGGTTTGAAACACGCCTTTTGTCATATCTGGAAGTGTCCATTCGGAGCGCATTCAGGCTTGTGTTGAAAAAGGAAATATCCTCCCATAAAAACTAGACAGAAAGCATTCTCAGAAACTGATTTGTGATGTATGTACTCAACTAACAGAACTAAACCATCGTTTTGAAGGAGCAGTTTTGAAACACTCTTTTTGCGGAATCTGCAAGTGGATATTTGGCTAGCTTGGAGGATTTCGTTGGAAACGGGATTACATACAAAAAGCAGACAGCAGCATTCTCAGAAACTTATTTGTGATGTGTGCCCTCAACTGATAGTGTTGAACCTTTGTTTTGATAGAGCAGTTCTGAAACACACTTTTTGTAAAATCTGCAAGAGGATATTTGGATAGCTTTGAGGATTTCGTTGGAAACGGGAATGTCTTCATGTAAACTCTAGACAGAAGCATTCTCAGAAACTGCTTTGGGATGTTTCAATTGAAGTCCCAGTGTTGAACATTCCCTTTCATAGAGCAGGTTTGAAACACTCTTTTTGTAGTATCTGGATGAGGACATTTGGAGCGCTTTCAGGCGTATGGTGAAAAAGGAAATATCTTCCCGTAAAAACTAGACAGAAGCATTCTCAGAAGTTTATTTCTGATGTGTGCCCTCAACTAACAGAGTTGAACCTTTCTTTTGATAGAGCAGTTTTGAAACACTCTTTTTGTAAAATCTGCAAGAGGATATTTGGATAGCTTTGAGGATTTCGTTGCAAACGGAATGGCTTCATATAAACTCTAGACAGAAGCATTCTCAGAAACTTCGTTGGGATGTTTCGATTGAAGTCCCAGTGTTGAACATTCCCATTCATAGAGCAGGTTTGAAACACTCTTTTTGTACTATCTGGAAGTGGACATTTGGAGCGCTTTCAGGTCTACGGTGAAAAAGGAGATATCTTCCAATAAAAACTAGATAGAAGCAATGTCAGAACTTTTTTCATGATGTATCTACTCAGCAAACAGAGTTGAACCTTTCTTTTGAGAGAGCAGTTTTGAAACACTCTTTTTGTGGAATATGCAAGTGGGTATTAGGCCAGCTTGGAGGATTTCCTTGGAAACGGGAATACGTATAAAAAGCAGACAGCAGCATTGTCAGAAACTACTTTGTGATGTTTGCATTCAAGTCACAGAATTGAACACTCCCTTTCACAGAGCAGGTTTGAAACACTCTTTTTGTAGTGTCTGTAAGTGAACATTTGGATTGCTTTCAGGCCTAAGGTGAAAAAGGAAATATCTTCCCATAAAAACTAGACAGAAGCATTCTCAGAAACTTGTTTGTGATGTGTGCCCTCTACTGACAGAGTTGAACCTTTCTTTGCAAAGAGCAGTTTTGAAACACTCTTTTTGTAGAATCTGCAAGAGGATATTTGGATAGCTTTGAGGATTTACTTGGGAAACGGGAATGTCTTCAGATAAACTCTAGACAGAAGCATTCTCAGAAACTTCTTTGGGATGTTTCAATTGAAGTCACAGTGTTGAACATTCCCTTTCACAGAGCAGGTTTGAAACACTCTTTTTGTAGTGTCTATAAGTGAACATTTGGCGTGCTTTCAGGCCTAACGTGAAAAAGGAAATATCTTCCCATAAAAACTAGACAGAAGCATTCTCAGAAACTTGTTCGTGATGTGTGCCCTCTACTGACAGAATTGAACCTTTCTTTGCAAAGAGCAGCTTTGAAACACTCTTTTTGTAGAATCTGCAAGAGGATATTTGGATAGCTTGGAGGATTTCGTTGGAAACGGGTATGTCTTCAGATAAACTCTAGACAGAAGCATTCTCAGAAACTTCTTTGGGATGTTGCATTCAAGTCACAGAGTAGAACATTCCCATTCATAGAGCAGATTTGAAACACTCTTTTTGTAGTATCTGGAAGTGGACATTTGGAGCGCTTTCAGGCCTATGTTGAAAAAGGAAATATCTTCCCATAAAAACTAGACGGAAGCATTCTCAGAAACTTATTTGTGATGTGTTTGCTCAACTAACAGGATTGAACCATCGTTTTGAAGGAGCAGTTTTGAAACACTGTTTTCGTGGAATCTGCAAGTGGATATTTGGCTAGCTTTGAGGATTTCGTTGGAAACGGGATTACATATACAAAGGAGACAGCAGCATTCTCAGAAACTTCTTTGTGATGTCTGCATTCAATTCACAGAGTTGAGCATTCCCTTTCATAGAGCAGGTTGGAAACACTCTTTTTGTAGTATCTGGATGAGGACATTTGGAGCGCTTTCAGGCCTATGGTGAAAAAGGAAATATCTTCCCGTAAAAACTAGACAGAAGCATTCTCAGAAGTTTATTTGTGATGTGTGCCCTCAACTAACAGAGTTGAACCTTTCTTTTGATAGAGCAGTTTTGAAACACTCTTTTTGTAAAATCTGCAAGAGGATATTTGGATAGCTTTGAGGATTTCGTTGCAAACGGGAATGGCTTCATATAAACTCTAGACAGAAGCATTCTCAGAAACTTCGTTGGGATGTTTCGATTGAAGTCCCAGTGTTGAACATTCCCTTTTATAGAGCAGGTTGGAAACACTCTTTCTGCATTCCCTGGAAGTGGACATTTGGAGCGCTTTCAGGACGACGGTGAAAATGGAAATATCTTCCAAGAAAATCTAGATAGAAGCAATGTCAGAAACTTTTATGTGATGGATCTACTCAGCTAACAGAGTTGAACCTTTCTTTTGAGAGAGCAGTTTTGCAACACACTTTTTGTGGAATATGCAAGTGGATATTAGGGCAGCTTTGAGGATTTCGTTGGAAACGGGAATATATGTAAAAAGCAGACAGCAGCATTCTCAGAAACTTCTTTGTGATGTTTGCATTGAAGTCACAGAGTTGAACATTCCCTTTGAGAGAGCAGGTTTGAAACACGCCTTTTGTCATATCTGGAAGTGTCCATTCGGAGCGCATTCAGGGTTGTGTTGAGAAAGGAAATATCCTCCCATAAAAACTAGACAGAAGCATTCTCAGAAACTTATTTGTGATGTATGTACTCAACTAACAGAACTAAACCATCGTTTTGAAGGAGCAGTTTTGAAAGACTCTTTTTGCGGAATCTGCAACTGGATATTTGGCTAGCTTGGAGGATTTCGTTGGAAGCGGGATTACATACAAAAAGCAGACAGCAGCATTCTCAGAAACTTCTTTGTGATGTTTGCATTCAAGTCACAGAGTTGAACATTCCCTTTCATAGAACAGGTTTGAAACACTCTTTTTGTAGTATCTGGAAGTGGACATTTGGAGCGCTTTCAGGTCTACGGTGGAAAAGGAGATATCTTCCAATAAAAACTAGATAGAAGCAATGTCAGAACTTTTTTCATGATGTATCTACTCAGCAAACAGAGTTGAACCTTTCTTTTGAGAGAGCAGTTTTGAAACACTCTTTTTGTGGAATATGCAAGTGGGTATTAGGCCAGATTGGAGGATTTCGTTGGAAACGGGAATACGTATAAAAAGCAGACAGCAGCATTTTCAGAAACTACTTTGTGATGTTTGCATTCAAGTCACAGAATTGAACACTCCCTTTCACAGAGCAGGTTTGAAACACTCTTTTTGTAGTGTCTGTAAGTGAACATTTGGATTGCTTTCAGGCCTAAGATGAAAAAGGAAATATCTTCCCATAAAAACTAGACAGAAGCATTCTCAGAAACTTGTTTGTGATGTGTGCCCTCTACTGACAGAGTTGAACCTTTCTTTGCAAAGAGCAGTTTTGAAACACTCTTTTTGTAGAATCTGCAGGAGGATATTTGGATAGCTTTGAGGATTTCTTGGGAAACGGGAATGTCTTCAGATAAACTCTAGACAGAAGCATTCTCAAAAACTTCTTTGGGATGATTCAATTGAAGTCACAGTGTTGAACATTCCCTTTCACAGAGCAGGTTTGAAAAACTCTTTTTGTAGTGTCTATAAGTGAACATTTGGCGTGCTTTCAGGAGTAACGTGAAAAAGGAAATATCTTCCCATAAAAACTAGACAGAAGCATTCTCAGAAACTTGTTTGTGATGTGTGCCCTCTACTGACAGAGTTGAACCTTTCTTTGCAAAGAGCAGCTTTGAAACACTCTTTTTGTAGAATCTGCAAGAGGATATTTGGATAGCTTTGAGGATTTCGTTGGAAACGGGTATGTCTTCAGATAAACTCTAGACAGAAGCATTCTCAGAAACTTCTTTGGGATGTTGCATTCAAGTCACAGAGTAGAACATTCCCATTCATAGAGCCGATATGAAACACTCTTTTTGTAGTATCTGGAAGTGGACATTTGGAGCGCTTTCAGGCCTATGATGAAAAAGGAAATATCTTCCCATAAAAACTAGACGGAAAGCATTCTCAGAAACTTACTTGTGATGTGTTTGCTCAACTAACAGAATTGAACCATCGTTTTGAAGGAGCAGTTTTGAAACACTGTTTTCGTGGAATCTGCAAGTGGATATTTGGCTAGCTTTGAGGATTTCGTTGGAAACGGGATTACATATAAAAAGGAGACAGAGCATTCTCAGAAACTTCTTTGTGATGTCTGCATTCAAGTCACAGAGTTGAGCATTCCCTTTCATAGAGCAGGTTGGAAACACTCTTTTTGTAGTATCTGGATGAGGACATTTGGAGCGCTTTCAGGCGTATGGTGAAAAAGGAAATATCTTCCCGTAAAAACTAGACAGAAGCATTCTCAGAAATTTATTTGTGATGTGTGCCCTCAACTAACAGAGTTGAACCTTTCTTTTGATAGAGCAGTTTTGAAACACTCTTTTTGTAAAATCTGCAAGAGGATATTTGGATAGCTTTGAGGATTTCATTGCAAACGGGAATGGCTTCATATAAACTCTAGACAGAAAGCATTCTCAGAAACTTCGTCGGGATGTTTCGATTGAAGTCCCAGTGTTGAACATTCCCTTTTATAGAGCAGGTTGGAAACACTCTTTCTGCATTCCCTGGAAGTGGACAATTGGAGCGCTTTCAGGACGACGGTGAAAATGGAAATATCTTCCAATAAAATCTGGATAGAGCAACGTCAGAAACTTTTCTGTGATGGATCTACTCAGCTAACAGAGTTGAACCTTTCCTTTGAGAGAGCAGTTTTGCAACACTCTTTTTGTGGAATATGCAAGTGGATATTAGGGCAGCTTTGAGGATTTCGTTGGAAACGGGAATACATGTAAAAAGCAGACAGCAGCATTCTCAGAAACTTCTTTGTGATGTTTGCATTGAAGTCACAGAGTTGAACATTCCCTTTGAGAGAGCAGGTTTGCAACACGCCTTTTGTCATATCTGGAAGTGTCCATTCGGAGCGCATTCAGGCTTGTGTTGAAAAAGGAAATATCCTCCCATAAAAACTAGACAGAAGCATTCTCAGAAACTTATTTCTGATGTATGTACTCAACTAACAGAACTAAACCATCGTTTTGAAGGAGCAGTTTTGAAACACGCTTTTTGCGGAATCTGCAACTGGATATTTGGCTAGCTTGGAGGATTTCGTTGGAAACGGGATTACATACAAAAAGCAGACAGCAGCATTCTCAGAAACTTCTTTGTGATGTTTGCATTCAAGTCGCAGAGTTGAACATTCCCTTTCATAGAGCAGGTTTGCAACACTCTTTTTGTAGTATCTGGATGTGGACATTTGGATCGCTTTCAGGCCTATGTTGAAAAAGGAAATATCTTCCCATGAAAACTAGACAGAAGCATTCTCAGAAATTTATTTGTGATGTGTGCCCTCAACTAACAGAGTTGAACCTTTCTTTTGATAGAGCAGTTTTGAAACACTCTTTTTGTAAAATCTGCAAGAGGATATTTGGATAGCTTTGAGGATTTCGTTGCAAACGGGAATGGCTTCATATAAACTCTAGACAGAAGCATTCTCAGAAACTTCGTTAGGATGTTTCGATTGAAGTCCCAGTGTTGAACATTCCCTTTTATAGAGCAGGTTGGAAACACTCTTTCTGCATTCCCTGGAAGTGGACATTTGGAGCGCTTTCAGGACGACGGTGAAAATGGAAATATCTTCCAAGAAAATCTAGATAGAAGCAATGTCAGAAACTTTTATGTGATGGATCTACTCAGCTAACAGAGTTGAACCTTTCTTTTGAGAGAGCAGTTTTGCAACACTCTTTTTGTGGAATATGCAAGTGGATATTAGGGCAGCTTTGAGGATTTCGTTGGAAACGGGAATACATGTAAAAAGCAGACAGCAGCATTCTCAGAAACTTCTTTGTGATGTTTGCATTGAAGTCACAGAGTTGAACATTCCCTTTGAGAGAGCAGGTTTGAAACACGCCTTTTGTCATATCTGGAAGTGTCCATTCGGAGCGCATTCAGGCTTGTGTTGAAAAAGGAAATATCCTCCCATAAAAACTAGACAGAAGCATTCTCAGAAACTTATCTGTGATGTATGTACTCAACTAACAGAACTAAACCATCGTTTTGAAGGAGCAGTTTTGAAACACTCTTTTTGCGGAATCTGCAAGTGGATATTTGGCTAGCTGGGAGGATTTCGTTGGAAACGGGATTACATACAAAAAGCAGAGAGCAGCATTCTCAGAAACTTATTTGTGATGTGTGCCCTCAACTGACAGTGTTGAACCTTTGTTTTGATAGAGCAGTTCTGAAACACACTTTTTGTAAAATCTGCAAGAGGATATTTGGATAGCTTTGAGGATTTCGTTGGAAACGGGAATGTCTTCATGTAAACTCTACACAGAAGCATTCTCAGAAACTGCTTTGGGATGTTTCAATTGAAGTCCCAGTGTTGAACATTCCCATTCATAGAGCAGGTTTGAAACACTCTTTTTGTACTATCTGGAAGTGGACATTTGGAGCGCTTTCAGGTCTACGGTGAAAAAGGAGATATCTTCCAATAAAAACTAGATAGAAGCAATGTCAGAACTTTTTTCATGATGTATCTACTCAGCAAACAGAGTTGAACCTTTCTTTTGAGAGAGCAGTTTTGAAACACTCTTTTTGTGGAATATGCAAGTGGGTATTAGGCCAGCTTGGAGGATTTCGTTGGAAACGGGAATACGTATAAAAAGCAGACAGCAGCATTGTCAGAAACTACTTTGTGATGTTTGCATTCAAGTCACAGAATTGAACACTCCCTTTCACAGAGCAGGTTTGAAACACTCTTTTTGTAGTGTCTGTAAGTGAACATTTGGATTGCTTTCAGGCCTAAGGTGAAAAAGGAAATATCTTCCCATAAAAACTAGACAGAAGCATTCTCAGAAACTTGTTTGTGATGTGTGCCCTCTACTGACAGAGTTGAACCTTTCTTTGCAAAGAGCAGTTTTGAAACACTCTTTTTGTAGAATCTGCAAGAGGATATTTGGATAGCTTTGAGGATTTCTTGGGAAACGGGAATGTCTTCATGTAAACTCTGGACAGAAGCATTCTCAGAAACTTCTTTGGGATGTTTCAATTGAAGTCACAGTGTTGAACATTCCCTTTCACAGAGCAGGTTTGAAACACTCTTTTTGTAGTGTCTATAAGTGAACATTTGGCGTGCTTTCAGGCCTAACGTGAAAAAGGAAATATCTTCCCATAAAAACTAGACAGAAGCATTCTCAGAAACTTGTTCATGATGTGTGCCCTCTACTGACAGAGTTGAACCTTTCTTTGCAAAGCAGCAGCTTTGAAACACTCTTTTTGTAGAATCTGCAAGAGGATATTTGGATAGCTTTGAGGATTTCGTTGGAAACGGGTATGTCTTCAGATAAACTCTAGACAGAAGCATTCTCAGAAACTTCTTTGGGATGTTGCATTCAAGTCACAGAGTAGAACATTCCCATTCATAGAGCAGATTTGAAACACTCTTTTTGTAGTATCTGGAAGTGGACATTTGGAGCGCTTTCAGGCCTATGTTGAAAAAGGAAATATCTTCCCATAAAAACTAGACGGAAGCATTCTCAGAAACTTATTTGTGATGTGTTTGCTCAACTAACAGGATTGAACCATCGTTTTGAAGGAGCAGTTTTGAAACACTGTTTTCGTGGAATCTGCAAGTGGATATTTGGCTAGCTTTGAGGATTTCGTTGGAAACGGGATTACATATAAAAAGGAGACAGCAGCATTCTCAGAAACTTCTTTGTGATGTCTGCATTCAATTCACAGAGTTGAGCATTCCCTTTCATAGAGCAGGTTGGAAACACTCTTTTTGTAGTATCTGGATGAGGACATTTGGAGCGCTTTCAGGCGTATGGTGAAAAAGGAAATATCTTCCCTTAAAAACTAGACAGAAGCATTCTCAGAAGTTTATTTGTGATGTGTGCCCTCAACTAACAGAGTTGAACCTTTCTTTTGATAGAACAGTTTTGAAACACTCTTTTTGTAAAATCTGCAAGAGGATATCTGGATAGCTTTGAGGATTTCGTTGCAAACGGGAATGGCTTCATATAAACTCTAGACAGAAGCATTCTCAGAAACTTCGTTGGGATGTTTCGATTGAAGTCCCAGTGTTGAACATTCCCTTTTATAGAGCAGGTTGGAAACACTCTTTCTGCATTCCCTGGAAGTGGACATTTGGAGCGCTTTCAGGACGACGGTGAAAATGGAAATATCTTCCAAGAAAATCTAGATAGAAGCAATGTCAGAAACTTTTATGTGATGGATCTACTCAGCTAACAGAGTTGAACCTTTCTTTTGAGAGAGCAGTTTTGCAACACTCTTTTTGTGGAATATGCAAGTGGATATTAGGGCAGCTTTGAGGATTTCGTTGGAAACGGGAATACATGTAAAAAGCAGACAGCAGCATTCTCAGAAACTTCTTTGTGATGTTTGCATTGAAGTCACAGAGTTGAACATTCCCTTTGAGAGAGCAGGTTTGAAACACGCCTTTTGTCATATCTGGAAGTGTCCATTCGGAGCGCATTCAGGCTTGTGTTGAAAAAGGAAATATCCTCCCATAAAAACTAGACAGAAGCATTCTCAGAAACTTATCTGTGATGTATGTACTCAACTAACAGAACTAAACCATCGTTTTGAAGGAGCAGTTTTGAAACACTCTTTTTGCGGAATCTGCAAGTGGATATTTGGCTAGCTGGGAGGATTTCGTTGGAAACGGGATTACATACAAAAAGCAGACAGCAGCATTCTCAGAAACTTATTTGTGATGTGTGCCCTCAACTGACAGTGTTGAACCTTTGTTTTGATAGAGCAGTTCTGAAACACACTTTTTGTAAAATCTGCAAGAGGATATTTGGATAGCTTTGAGGATTTCGTTGGAAACGGGAATGTCTTCATGTAAACTCTAGACAGAAGCATTCTCAGAAACTGCTTTGGGATGTTTCAATTGAAGTCCCAGTGTTGAACATTCCCATTCATAGAGCAGGTTTGAAACACTCTTTTTGTACTATCTGGAAGTGGACATTTGGAGCGCTTTCAGGTCTACGGTGAAAAAGGAGATATCTTCCAATAAAAACTAGATAGAAGCAATGTCAGAACTTTTTTCATGATGTATCTACTCAGCAAACAGAGTTGAACCTTTCTTTTGAGAGAGCAGTTTTGAAACACTCCTTTTGTGGAATATGCAAGTGGGTATTAGGCCAGCTTGGAGGATTTCGTTGGAAACGGGAATACGTATAAAAAGCAGACAGCAGCATTGTCAGAAACTACTTTGTGATGTTTGCATTCAAGTCACAGAATTGAACACTCCCTTTCACAGAGCAGGTTTGAAACACTCTTTTTGTAGTGTCTGTAAGTGAACATTTGGATTGATTTCAGGCCTAAGGTGAAAAAGGAAATATCTTCCCATAAAAACTAGACAGAAGCATTCTCAGAAACTTGTTTGTGATGTGTGCCCTCTACTGACAGAGTTGAACCTTTCTTTGCAAAGAGCAGTTTTGAAACACTCTTTTTGTAGAATCTGCAAGAGGATATTTGGATAGCTTTGAGGATTTCTTGGGAAACGGGAATGTCTTCAGATAAACTCTAGACAGAAGCATTCTCAGAAACTTCTTTGGGATGTTTCAATTGAAGTCACAGTGTTGAACATTCCCTTTCACAGAGCAGGTTTGAAACACTCTTTTTGTAGTGTCTATAAGTGAACATTTGGCGTGCTTTCAGGCGTAACGTGAAAAAGGAAATATCTTCCCATAAAAACTAGACAGAAGCATTCTCAGAAACTTGTTCGTGATGTGTGCCCTCTACTGACAGAGTTGAACCTTTCTTTGCAAAGAGCAGCTTTGAAACACTCTTTTTGTAGAATCTGCAAGAGGATATTTGGATAGCTTTGAGGATTTCGTTGGAAACGGGTATGTCTTCAGATAAACTCTAGACAGAAGCATTCTCAGAAACTTCTTTGGGATGTTGCATTCAAGTCACAGAGTAGAACATTCCCATTCATAGAGCAGATTTGAAACACTCTTTTTGTAGTATCTGGAAGTGGACATTTGGAGCGCTTTCAGGCCTATGTTGAAAAAGGATATATCTTCCCATAAAAACTAGACGGAAGCATTCTCAGAAACTTATTTGTGATGTGTTTGCTCAACTAACAGGATTGAACCATCGTTTTGAAGGAGCAGTTTTGAAACACTGTTTTCATGGAATCTGCAAGTGGATATTTGGCTAGCTTTGAGGATTTCGTTGGAAACGGGATTACATATAAAAAGGAGACAGCAGCATTCTCAGAAACTTCTTTGTGATGTCTGCATTCAATTCACAGAGTTGAGCATTCCCTTTCATAGAGCAGGTTGGAAACACTCTTTTTGTAGTATCTGGATGAGGACATTTGGAGCGCTTTCAGGCCTATGGTGAAAAAGGAAATATCTTCCCGTAAAAACTAGACAGAAGCATTCTCAGAAGTTTATTTGTGATGTGTGCCCTCAACTAACAGAGTTGAACCTTTCTTTTGATAGAGCAGTTTTGAAACACTCTTTTTGTAAAATCTGCAAGAGGATATTTGGATAGCTTTGAGGATTTCGTTGCAAACGGGAATGGCTTCATATAAACTCTAGACAGAAGCATTCTCAGAAACTTCGTTGGGATGTTTCGATTGAAGTCCCAGTGTTGAACATTCCCTTTTATAGAGCAGGTTGGAAACACTCTTTCTGCATTCCCTGGAAGTGGACATTTGGAGCGCTTTCAGGACGACGGTGAAAATGGAAATATCTTCCAAGAAAATCTAGATAGAAGCAACGTCAGAAACTTTTCTGTGATGGATCTACTCAGCTAACAGAGTTGAACCTTTCTTTTGAGAGAGCAGTTTTGCAACACTCTTTTTGTGGAATATGCAAGTGGATATTAGGGCAGCTTTGAGGATTTCGTTGGAAACGGGAATACATGTAAAAAGCAGACAGCAGCATTCTCAGAAACTTCTTTGTGATGTTTGCATTGAAGTCACAGAGTTGAACATTCCCTTTGAGAGAGCAGGTTTGAAACACGCCTTTTGTCATATCTGGAAGTGTCCATTCGGAGCGCATTCAGGCTTGTGTTGAAAAAGGAAATATCCTCCCATAAAAACTAGACAGAAGCATTCTCAGAAACTTATCTGTGATGTATGTACTCAACTAACAGAACTAAACCATCGTTTTGAAGGAGCAGTTTTGAAACACTCTTTTTGCGGAATCTGCAAGTGGATATTTGGCTAGCTGGGAGGATTTCGTTGGAAACGGGATTACATACAAAAAGCAGACAGCAAGCATTCTCAGAAACTTATTTGTGATGTGTGCCCTCAACTGACAGTGCTGAACCTTTGTTTTGATAGAGCAGTTCTGAAACACACTTTTTGTAAAATCTGCAAGAGGATATTTGGATAGCTTTGAGGATTTCGTTGGAAACGGGAATGTCTTCATGTAAACTCTACACAGAAGCATTCTCAGAAACTGCTTTGGGATGTTTCAATTGAAGTCCCAGTGTTGAACATTCCCATTCATAGAGCAGGTTTGAAACACTCTTTTTGTACTATCTGGAAGTGGACATTTGGAGCGCTTTCAGGTCTACGGTGAAAAAGGAGATATCTTCCAATAAAAACTAGATAGAAGCAATGTCAGAACTTTTTTCATGATGTATCTACTCAGCAAACAGAGTTGAACCTTTCTTTTGAGAGAGCAGTTTTGAAACACTCTTTTTGTGGAATATGCAAGTGGGTATTAGGCCAGCTTGGAGGATTTCGTTGGAAACGGGAATACGTATAAAAAGCAGACAGCAGCATTGTCAGAAACTACTTTGTGATGTTTGCATGCAAGTCACAGAATGGAACACTGCCTTTCACAGAGCAGGTTTGAAACACTCTTTTTGTAGTGTCTGTAAGTGAACATTTGGATTGCTTTCAGGCCTAAGGTGAAAAAGGAAATATCTTCCCATAAAAACTAGACAGAAGCATTCTCAGAAACTTGTTTGTGATGTGTGCCCTCTACTGACAGAGTTGAACCTTTCTTTGCAAAGACCAGTTTTGAAACACTCTTTTTGTAGAATCTGCAAGAGGATATTTGGATAGCTTTGAGGATTTCTTGGGAAACGGGAATGTCTTCAGATAAACTCTAGACAGAAGCATTCTCAGAAACTTCTTTGGGATGTTTCAATTGAAGTCACAGTGTTGAACATTCCCTTTCACAGAGCAGGTTTGAAACACTCTTTTTGTAGTGTCTATAAGTGAACATTTGGCGTGGTTTCAGGCGTAACGTGAAAAAGGACATATCTTCCCATGAAAACTAGACAGAAGCATTCTCAGAAACTTGTTCTTGATGTGTGCCCTCTACTGACAGAGTTGAACCTTTCTTTGCAAAGAGCAGCTTTGAAACACTCTTTTTGTAGAATCTGCAAGAGGATATTTGGATAGCTTTGAGGATTTCGTTGGAAACGGGTATGTCTTCAGATAAACTCTAGACAGAAGCATTCTCAGAAACTTCTTTGGGATGTTGCATTCAAGTCACAGAGTAGAACATTCCCATTCATAGAGCAGATTTGAAACACTCTTTTTGTAGTATCTGGAAGTGGACATTTGGAGCGCTTTCAGGCCTATGTTGAAAAAGGAAATATCTTCCCATAAAAACTAGACGGAAGCATTCTCAGAAACTTACTTGTGATGTGTTTGCTCAACTAACAGAATTGAACCATCGTTTTGAAGGAGCAGTTTTGAAACACTGTTTTCGTGGAATCTGCAAGTGGATATTTGGCTAGCTTTGAGGATTTCGTTGGAAACGGGATTACATATAAAAAGGAGACAGCAGCATTCTCAGAAACTTCTTTGTGATGTCTGCATTCAAGTCACAGAGTTGAGCATTCCCTTTCATAGAGCAGGTTGGAAACACTCTTTTTGTAGTATCTGGATGAGGACATTTGGAGCACTTTCAGGCGTATGGTGAAAAAGGAAATATCTTCCCGTAAAAACTAGACAGAAGCATTCTCAGAAGTTTATTTGTGATGTGTGCCCTCAACTAACAGAGTTGAAACTTTCTTTTGATAGAGCAGTTTTGAAACACTCATTTTGTAAAATCTGCAAGAGGATATTTGGATAGCTTTGAGGATTTCGTTGCAAACGGGAATGGCTTCATATAAACTCTAGACAGAAGCATTCTCAGAAACTTCGTTGGGATGTTTCGATTGAAGTCCCAGTGTTGAACATTCCCTTTTATAGAGCAGGTTGGAAACACTCTTTTTGCATTCCCTGGAAGTGGACATTTGGAGCGCTTTCAGGACGACGGTGAAAATGGAAATATCTTCCAAGAAAATCTAGATAGAAGCAATGTCAGAAACTTTTATGTGATGGATCTACTCAGCTAACAGAGTTGAACCTTTCTTTTGAGAGAGCAGTTTTGCAACACTCTTTTTGTGGAATATGCAAGTGGATATTAGGGCAGCTTTGAGGATTTCGTTGGAAACGGGAATACATGTAAAAAGCAGACAGCAGCATTCTCAGAAACTTCTTTGTGATGTTTGCATTGAAGTCACAGAGTTGAACATTCCCTTTGAGAGAGCAGGTTTGAAACACGCCTTTTGTCATATCTGGAAGTGTCCATTCGGAGCGCATTCAGGCTTGTGTTGAAAAAGGAAATATCCTCCCATAAAAACTAGACAGAAGCATTCTCAGAAACTTATCTGTGATGTATGTACTCAACTAACAGAACTAAACCATCGTTTTGAAGGAGCAGTTTTGAAACACTCTTTTTGCGGAATCTGCAAGTGGATATTTGGCTAGCTGGGAGGATTTCGTTGGAAACGGGATTACATACAAAAAGCAGACAGCAGCATTCTCAGAAACTTATTTGTGATGTGTGCCCTCAACTGACAGTGTTGAACCTTTGTTTTGATAGAGCAGTTCTGAAACACACTTTTTGTAAAATCTGCAAGAGGATATTTGGATAGCTTTGAGGATTTCGTTGGAAACGGGAATGTCTTCATGTAAACTCTAGACAGAAGCATTCTCAGAAACTGCTTTGGGATGTTTCAATTGAAGTCCCAGTGTTGAACATTCCCATTCATAGAGCAGGTTTGAAACACTCTTTTTGTAATATCTGGAAGTGGACATTTGGAGCGCTTTCAGGTCTACGGTGAAAAAGGAGATATCTTCCAATAAAAACTAGATAGAAGCAATGTCAGAACTTTTT
Source organism: Homo sapiens (assembly GCF_000001405.40). Lineage (NCBI taxonomy): Eukaryota > Metazoa > Chordata > Mammalia > Primates > Hominidae > Homo > Homo sapiens. The sequence continues at coordinate 28,207,839 of NC_000020.11, forward strand.
TCATGATGTATCTACTCAGCAAACAGAGTTGAACATTTCTTTTGAGAGAGCAGTTTTGAAACACTCTTTTTGTGGAATATGCAAGTGGGTATTAGGCCAGCTTGGAGGATTTCGTTGGAAACGGGAATACGTATAAAAAGCAGACAGCAGCATTGTCAGAAACTACTTTGTGATGTTTGCATTCAAGTCACAGCAATTGAACACTCCCTTTCACAGTAGCAGGTTTGAAACTCTCTTTTTGTAGTGTCTATAAGTGAACATTTGGCGTGCTTTCAGGCGTAACGTGAAAAAGGAAATATCTTCCCATAAAAACTAGACAGAAGCATTCTCAGAAACTTGTTCTTGATGTGTGCCCTCTACTGACAGAGTTGAACCTTTCTTTGCAAAGAGCAGTTTTGAAACACTCTTTTTGTAGAATCTGCAAGAGGATATTTGGATAGCTTTGAGGATTTCTTGGGAAACGGGAATGTCTTCAGATAAACTCTAGACAGAAGCATTCTCAGAAACTTCTTTGGGATGTTTCAATTGAAGTCACAGTGTTGAACATTCCCTTTCACAGAGCAGGTTTGAAACACTCTTTTTGTAGTGTCTATAAGTGAACATTTGGCGTGCTTTCAGGCGTAACGTGAAAAAGGAAATATCTTCCCATAAAAACCAGACAGAAGCATTCTCAGAAACTTGTTCGTGATGTGTGCCCTCTACTGACAGAGTTGAACCTTTCTTTGCAAAGAGCAGCTTTGAAACACACATTTGTAGAATCTGCAAGAGGATATTTGGATAGCTTGGAGGATTTCGTTGGAAACGGGTATGTCTTCAGATAAACTCTAGACAGAAGCATTCTCAGAAACTTCTTTGGGATGTTGCATTCAAGTCACAGAGTAGAACATTCCCATTCATAGAGCAGATTTGAAACACTCTTTTTGTAGTATCTGGAAGTGGACATTTGGAGCGCTTTCAGGCCTATGTTGAAAAAGGAAATATCTTCCCATAAAAACTAGACGGAAGCATTTTCAGAAACTTACTTGTGATGTGTTTGCTCAACTAACAGAATTGAACCATCGTTTTGAAGGAGCACTTTTGAAACACTGTTTTCGTGGAATCTGCAAGTGGATATTTGGCTAGCTTTGAGGATTTCGTTGGAAACGGGATTACCTATAAAAAGGAGACAGCAGCATTCTCAGAAACTTCTTTGTGATGTCTGCATTCAAGTCACAGAGTTGAGCATTCCCTTTCATAGAGCAGGTTTGAAACACTGTTTTTGTAGTATCTGGATGAGGACATTTGGAGCGCTTTCAGGTGTATGGTGAAAAAGGAAATATCTTCCCGTAAAAACTAGACAGAAGCATTCTCAGAAATTTATTTGTGATGTGTGCCCTCAACTAACAGAGTTGAACCTTTCTTTTGATAGAGCAGTTTTGAAACACTCTTTTTGTAAAATCTGCAAGAGGATATTTGGATAGCTTTGAGGATTTCATTGCAAACGGGAATGGCTTCATATAAACTCTAGACAGAAGCATTCTCAGAAACTTCGTTGGGATGTTTCGATTGAAGTCCCAGTGTTGAACATTCCCTTTTATAGAGCAGGTTGGAAACACTCTTTTTGCATTCCCTGGAAGTGGACATTTGGAGCGCTTTCAGGACGACGGTGAAAATGGAAATATCTTCCAAGAAAATCTAGATAGAAGCAACGTCAGAAACTTTTCTGTGATGGATCTACTCAGCTAACAGAGTTGAACCTTTCTTTTGAGAGAGCAGTTTTGCAACACTCTTTTTGTGGAATATGCAAGTGGATATTAGGGCAGCTTTGAGGATTTCGTTGGAAACGGGAATACATGTAAAAAGCAGACAGCAGCATTCTCAGAAACTTCTTTGTGATGTTTGCATTGAAGTCACAGAGTTGAACATTCCCTTTGAGAGAGCAGGTTTGAAACACGCCTTTTGTCATATCTGGAAGTGTCCATTCGGAGCGCATTCAGGCTTGTGTTGAAAAAGGATATATCCTCCCATAAAAACTAGACAGAAGCATTCTCAGAAACTTATCTGTGATGTATGTACTCAACTAACAGAACTAAACCATCGTTTTGAAGGAGCAGTTTTGAAACACTCTTTTTGCGGAATCTGCAAGTGGATATTTGGCTAGCTGGGAGGATTTCGTTGGAAACGGGATTACATACAAAAAGCAGACAGCAGCATTCTCAGAAACTTATTTGTGATGTGTGCCCTCAACTGACAGTGTTGAACCTTTGTTTTGATAGAGCAGTTCTGAAACACACTTTTTGTAAAATCTGCAAGAGGATATTTGGATAGCTTTGAGGATTTCGTTGGAAACGGGAATGTCTTCATGTAAACTCTAGACAGAAGCATTCTCAGAAACTGCTTTGGGATGTTTCAATTGAAGTCCCAGTGTTGAACATTCCCTTTCATAGAGCAGGTTTGAAACACTCTTTTTGTACTATCTGGAAGTGGACATTTGGAGCGCTTTCAGGTCTACGGTGAAAAAGGAGATATCTTCCAATAAAAACTAGATAGAAGCAATGTCAGAACTTTTTTCATGATGTATCTACTCAGCTAACAGAGTTGAACCTTTCTTTTGAGAGAGCAGTTTTGAAACACTCTTTTTGTGGAATATGCAAGTGGGTATTAGGCCAGCTTGGAGGATTTCGTTGGAAACGGGAATACGTATAAAAAGCAGACAGCAGCATTGTCAGAAACTACTTTGTGATGTTTGCATGCAAGTCACAGAATGGAACACTGCCTTTCACAGAGCAGGTTTGAAACACTCTTTTTGTAGTGTCTGTAAGTGAACATTTGGATTGCTTTCAGGCCTAAGGTGAAAAAGGAAATATCTTCCCATAAAAACTAGACAGAAGCATTCTCAGAAACTTGTTTGTGATGTGTGCCCTCTACTGACAGAGTTGAACCTTTCTTTGCAAAGAGCAGTTTTGAAACACTCTTTTTGTAGAATCTGCAAGAGGATATTTGGATAGCTTTGAGGATTTCTTGGGAAACGGGAATGTCTTCAGATAAACTCTAGACAGAAGCATTCTCAGAAACTTCTTTGGGATGTTTCAATTGAAGTCACAGTGTTGAACATTCCCTTTCACAGAGCAGGTTTGAAACACTCTTTTTGTAGTGTCTATAAGTGAACATTTGGCGTGCTTTCAGGCCTAACGTGAAAAAGGAAATATCTTCCCATAAAAACTAGACAGAAGCATTCTCAGAAACTTGTTCATGATGTGTGCCCTCTACTGACAGAGTTGAACCTTTCTTTGCAAAGAGCAGCTTTGAAACACTCTTTTTGTAGAATCTGCAAGAGGATATTTGGATAGCTTTGAGGATTTCGTTGGAAACGGGTATGTCTTCAGATAAACTCTAGACAGAAGCATTCTCAGAAACTTCTTTGGGATGTTTCAATTGAAGTCACAGTGTTGAACATTCCCTTTCACAGAGCAGGTTTGAAACACTCTTTTTGTAGTGTCTATAAGTGAACATTTGGCGTGCTTTCAGGCGTAACGTGAAAAAGGAAATATCTTCCCATAAAAAGTAGACGGAAAGCATTCTCAGAAACTTGTTCGTGATGTGTGCCCTCTACTGACAGAGTTGAACCTTTCTTTGCAAAGAGCAGCTTTGAAACACACTTTTTGTAGAATCTGCAAGAGGATATTTGGATAGCTTGGAGGATTTCGTTGGAAACGGGTATGTCTTCAGATAAACTCTAGACAGAAGCATTCTCAGAAACTTCTTTGGGATGTTGCATTCAAGTCACAGAGTAGAACATTCCCATTCATAGAGCAGATTTGAAACACTCTTTTTGTAGTATCTGGAAGTGGACATTTGGAGCGCTTTCAGGCCTATGTTGAAAAAGGAAATATCTTCCCATAAAAACTAGACGGAAGCATTCTCAGAAACTTATTTGTGATGTGTTTGCTCAACTAACAGGATTGAACCATCGTTTTGAAGGAGCAGTTTTGAAACACTGTTTTCGTGGAATCTGCAAGTGGATATTTGGCTAGCTTTGAGGATTTCGTTGGAAACGGGATTACATATAAAAAGGAGACAGCAGCATTCTCAGAAACTTCTTTGTGATGTCTGCATTCAATTCACAGAGTTGAGCATTCCCTTTCATAGAGCAGGTTGGAAACACTCTTTTTGTAGTATCTGGATGAGGACATTTGGAGCGCTTTCAGGCGTATGGTGAAAAAGGAAATATCTTCCCTGTAAAAACTAGACAGAAGCATTCTCAGAAGTTTATTTGTGATGTGTGCCCTCAACTAACAGAGTTGAACCTTTCTTTTGATAGAGCAGTTTTGAAACACTCTTTTTGTAAAATCTGCAAGAGGATATTTGGATAGCTTTGAGGATTTCGTTGCAAACGGGAATGGCTTCATATAAACTCTAGACAGAAGCATTCTCAGAAACTTCGTTGGGATGTTTCGATTGAAGTCCCAGTGTTGAACATTCCCTTTTATAGAGCAGGTTGGAAACACTCTTTCTGCATTCCCTGGAAGTGGACATTTGGAGCGCTTTCAGGACGACGGTGAAAATGGAAATATCTTCCAAGAAAATCTAGATAGAAGCAATGTCAGAAACTTTTATGTGATGGATCTACTCAGCTAACAGAGTTGAACCTTTCTTTTGAGAGAGCAGTTTTGCAACACTCTTTTTGTGGAATATGCAAGTGGATATTAGGGCAGCTTTGAGGATTTCGTTGGAAACGGGAATACATGTAAAAAGCAGACAGCAGCATTCTCAGAAACTTCTTTGTGATGTTTGCATTGAAGTCACAGAGTTGAACATTCCCTTTGAGAGAGCAGGTTTGAAACACGCCTTTTGTCATATCTGGAAGTGTCCATTCGGAGCGCATTCAGGCTTGTGTTGAAAAAGGAAATATCCTCCCATAAAAACTAGACAGAAGCATTCTCAGAAACTTATCTGTGATGTATGTACTCAACTAACAGAACTAAACCATCGTTTTGAAGGAGCAGTTTTGAAACACTCTTTTTGCGGAATCTGCAAGTGGATATTTGGCTAGCTGGGAGGATTTCGTTGGAAACGGGATTACATACAAAAAGCAGACAGCAGCATTCTCAGAAACTTATTTGTGATGTGTGCCCTCAACTGACAGTGTTGAACCTTTGTTTTGATAGAGCAGTTCTGAAACACACTTTTTGTAAAATCTGCAAGAGGATATTTGGATAGCTTTGAGGATTTCGTTGGAAACGGGAATGTCTTCATGTAAACTCTACACAGAAGCATTCTCAGAAACTGCTTTGGGATGTTTCAATTGAAGTCCCAGTGTTGAACATTCCCTTTCATAGAGCAGGTTTGAAACACTCTTTTTGTACTATCTGGAAGTGGACATTTGGAGCGCTTTCAGGTCTACGATGAAAAAGGAGATATCTTCCAATAAAAACTAGATAGAAGCAATGTCAGAACTTTTTTCATGATGTATCTACTCAGCAAACAGAGTTGAACCTTTCTTTTGAGAGAGCAGTTTTGAAACACTCTTTTTGTGGAATATGCAAGTGGGTATTAGGCCAGCTTGGAGGATTTCGTTGGAAACGGGAATACGTATAAAAAGCAGACAGCAGCATTCTCAGAATCTTCTTTGGGATGTTTCAATTGAAGTCACAGTGTTAAACATTCCCTTTCACAGAGCAGGTTTGAAACACTCTTTTTGTAATGTCTCGAAGTGAACATTTGGCGTGATTTCAGGCCTAACATGAAAAAGGAAATATCTTCCCATAAAAACTAGACAGAAGCATTCTCAGAAACTTGTTTGTGATGTGTGCCCTCTACTGACAGAGTTGAACCTTTCTTTGCAAAGAGCAGTTTTGAAACCCTCTTTTTGTAGAATCTGCAAGAGGATACTTGGATAGCTTTGAGTATTTCTTGGGAAACGGGAATGTCTTCAGATAAACTCTAGACAGAAGCATTCTCAGAAACTCCTTTGGGATGTTTCAATTGAAGTCACAGTTTTGAAGATTCCCTTTCACAGAGCAGGTTTGAAACACTCTTTTTGTAGTTTCTATAAGTGAACATTTGGAGTGCTTTCAGGCCTCACGTGAAAAAGGAAATATCTTCCCATAAAAACTAGACAGAAGCATTCTCAGAAACTTGTTTGTGATGTGTGCCCTCTACTGACAGAGGTGAACCTTTCTTTGCAAAGAGCAGCTTTGAAACACTCTTTTTGTAGAATCTGCAAGAGGATATTTGGATAGCTTTGAGGATTTCGTTGGAAACGGGTATGTCTTCAGATAAACTCTAGACAGAAGCATTCTCAGAAACTTCTTTGGGATGTTGCATTCAAGTCACAGAGTAGAACATTCCCATTCATAGAGCAGGTTTGAAACACTCTTTTTGTAGTATCTGGAAGTGGACATTTGGAGCGCTTTCAGGCCTATGTTGAAAAAGGATATATTTTCCCATAAAAACTAGACAGAAGCATTCTCAGAAACTTAATTGTGATGAGTTTGCTCAACTAACAGGATTGAACCATCCTTTTGAAGGAGCAGTTTTGAAACACTGTTTTCGTGGAATCTGCAAGTGGATATTTGGCTAGCTTTGAGGATTTCGTTGGAAACGGGATTACATATAAAAAGGAGACAGCAGCATTCTCAGAAACTTCTTTGTGATGTCTGCATTTAATTCACAGAGTTGAGCATTCCCTTTCATAGAGCAGGTTGGAAACACTCTTTTTGTAGTATCTGGATGAGGACATTTGGAGCGCTTTCAGGCGTATGGTGAAAAGGGAAATATCTTCCCGTAAAAACTAGACAGAAGCATTCTCAGAAATTTATTTGTGATGTGTGCCCTCAACTAACAGAGTTGAACCTTTCTTTTGATAGAGCAGTTTTGAAACACTCTTTTTGTAAAATCTGCAAGAGGATATTTGGATAGCTTTGAGGATTTCATTGCAAACGGGAATGGCTTCATATAAACTCTAGACAGAAGCATTCTCAGAAACTTCGTTGGGATGTTTCGATTGAAGTCCCAGTGTTGAACATTCCCTTTTATAGAGCAGGTTGGAAACACTCTTTCTGCATTCCCTGGAAGTGGACATTTGGAGCGCTTTCAGGACGACGGTGAAAATGGAAATATCTTCCAAGAAAATCTAGATAGAAGCAACGTCAGAAACTTTTCTGTGATGGATCTACTCAGCTAACAGAGTTGAACCTTTCTTTTGAGAGAGCAGTTTTGCAACACTCTTTTTGTGGAATATGCAAGTGGATATTAGGGCAGCTTTGAGGATTTCGTTGGAAACGGGAATACATGTAAAAAGCAGACAGCAGCATTCTCAGAAACTTCTTTGTGATGTTTGCATTGAAGTCACAGAGTTGAACATTCCCTTTGAGAGAGCAGGTTTGAAACACGCCTTTTGTCATATCTGGAAGTGTCCATTCGGAGCGCATTCAGGCTTGTGTTGAAAAAGGAAATATCCTCCCATAAAAACTAGACAGAAGCATTCTCAGAAACTTATCTGTGATGTATGTACTCAACTAACAGAACTAAACCATCGTTTTGAAGGAGCAGTTTTGAAACACTCTTTTTGCGGAATCTGCAAGTGGATATTTGGCTAGCTGGGAGGATTTCGTTGGAAACGGGATTACATACAAAAAGCAGACAGCAGCATTCTCAGAAATTTATTTGTGATGTGTGCCCTCAACTAACAGAGTTGAACCTTTCTTTTGATAGAGCAGTTTTGAAACACTCTTTTTGTAAAATCTGCAAGAGGATATTTGGATAGCTTTGAGGATTTCGTTGGAAACGGGAATGTCTTCATGTAAACTCTAGACAGAAGCATTCTCAGAAACTGCTTTGGGATGTTTCAATTGAAGTCCCAGTGTTGAACATTCCCATTCATAGAGCAGGTTTGAAACACTCTTTTTGTACTATCTGGAAGTGGACATTTGGAGCGCTTTCAGGTCTACGGTGAAAAAGGAGATATCTTCCAATAAAAACTAGATAGAAGCAATGTCAGAACTTTTTTCATGATGTATCTACTCAGCTAACAGAGTTGAACCTTTCTTTTGAGAGAGCAGTTTTGAAACACTCTTTTTGTGGAATATGCAAGTGGGTATTAGGCCAGCTTGGAGGATTTCGTTGGAAACGGGAATACGTATAAAAAGCAGACAGCAGCATTGTCAGAAACTACTTTGTGATGTTTGCATTCAAGTCACAGAATTGAACACTCCCTTTCACAGAGCAGGTTTGAAACTCTCTTTTTGTAGTGTCTATAAGTGAACATTTGGCGTGCTTTCAGGCGTAACGTGAAAAAGGAAATATCTTCCCATAAAAACTAGACAGAAGCATTCTCAGAAACTTGTTTGTGATGTGTGCCCTCTACTGACAGAGTTGAACCTTTCTTTGCAAAGACCAGTTTTGAAACACTCTTTTTGTAGAATCTGCAAGAGGATATTTGGATAGCTTTGAGGATTTCTTGGGAAACGGGAATGTCTTCAGATAAACTCTAGACAGAAGCATTCTCAGAAACTTCTTTGGGATGTTTCAATTGAAGTCACAGTGTTGAACATTCCCTTTCACAGAGCAGGTTTGAAACACTCTTTTTGTAGTGTCTATAAGTGAACATTTGGCGTGCTTTCAGGCCTAACGTGAAAAAGGAAATATCTTCCCATAAAAACTAGACAGAAGCATTCTCAGAAACTTGTTCATGATGTGTGCCCTCTACTGACAGAGTTGAACCTTTCTTTGCAAAGAGCAGCTTTGAAACACTCTTTTTGTAGAATCTGCAAGAGGATATTTGGATAGCTTTGAGGATTTCGTTGGAAACGGGTATGTCTTCAGATAAACTCTAGACAGAAGCATTCTCAGAAACTTCTTTGGGATGTTGCATTCAAGTCACAGAGTAGAACATTCCCATTCATAGAGCAGATTTGAAACACTCTTTTTGTAGTATCTGGAAGTGGACATTTGGAGCGCTTTCAGGCCTATGTTGAAAAAGGAAATATCTTCCCATAAAAACTAGACGGAAGCATTCTCTGAAACTTATTTGTGATGTGTGTACTCAACTAACAGAATTGAACCATCGTTTTGAAAGAGCAATTTTGAAACACTCTTTTTCTGGAATCTGCAAGTCGATATTTGTCTAGCATTGAGGATTTCGTTGGAAACGGGATTACATATAAAAGCAGACAGCAGCATTCCCAGAAACTTCTTTGTGATGTTTGCATTCAAGTCACAGAGTTTAACATTCCCTTTCATAGAGCAGGTTTGAAACACTCTTTTTGTAGTATCTGGATGTGGACATTTGGAGCGCTTTCAGGCCTATGGTGAAAAAGGAAATATCTTCCCCTGAAAACTAGACAGAAGCATTCTCAGGAAATTTATTTGTGATGTGTGCCCTCAACTAACAGAGTTGAACCTTTCTTTTGATAGAGCAGTTTTGAAACACTCTTTTTGTAAAATCTGCAAGAGGATATTTGGATAGCTTTGAGGATTTCGTTGCAAACGGGAATGGCTTCATATAAACTCTAGACAGAAGCATTCTCAGAAACTTCGTTGGGATGTTTCGATTGAAGTCCCAGTGTTGAACATTCCCTTTTATAGAGCAGGTTGGAAACACTCTTTCTGCATTCCCTGGAAGTGGACATTTGGAGCGCTTTCAGGACGACGGTGAAAATGGAAATATCTTCCAAGAAAATCTAGATAGAAGCAATGTCAGAAACTTTTATGTGATGGATCTACTCAGCTAACAGAGTTGAACCTTTCTTTTGAGAGAGCAGTTTTGCAACACTCTTTTTGTGGAATATGCAAGTGGATATTAGGGCAGCTTTGAGGATTTCGTTGGAAACGGGAATACATGTAAAAAGCAGACAGCAGCATTTTCAGAAACTTCTTTGTGATGTTTGCATTGAAGTCACAGAGTTGAACATTCCCTTTGAGAGAGCAGGTTTGAAACACGCCTTTTGTCATATCTGGAAGTGTCCATTCGGAGCGCATTCAGGCTTGTGTTGAAAAAGGAAATATCCTCCCATAAAAACTAGACAGAAGCATTCTCAGCAAACTTATCTGTGATGTATGTACTCAACTAACAGCAACTAAACCATCGTTTTGAAGGAGCAGTTTTGAAACACTCTTTTTGCGGAATCTGCAAGTGGATATTTGGCTAGCTGGGAGGATTTCGTTGGAAACGGGATTACATACAAAAAGCAGACAGCAGCATTCTCAGAAACTTCTTTGTGATGTTTGCATTCAAGTCACAGAGTTGAACATTCCCTTTCATAGAGCAGGTTTGAAACACTCTTTTTGTAGTATCTGGATGTGGACATTTGGATCGCTTTCAGGCCTATGGTGAAAAAGGAAATATCTTCCCATGAAAACTAGACAGAAGCATTCTCAGAAACTTATTTGTGATGTGTGCCCTCAACTGACAGTGTTGAACCTTTGTTTTGATAGAGCAGTTCTGAAACACACTTTTTGTAAAATCTGCAAGAGGATATTTGGATAGCTTTGAGGATTTCGTTGGAAACGGGAATGTCTTCATGTAAACTCTAGACAGAAGCATTCTCAGAAACTGCTTTGGGATGTTTCAATTGAAGTCCCAGTGTTGAACATTCCCATTCATAGAGCAGGTTTGAAACACTCTTTTTGTACTATCTGGAAGTGGACATTTGGAGCGCTTTCAGGTCTACGGTGAAAAAGGAGATATCTTCCAATAAAAACTAGATAGAAGCAATGTCAGAACTTTTTTCATGATGTATCTACTCAGCAAACAGAGTTGAACCTTTCTTTTGAGAGAGCAGTTTTGAAACACTCTTTTTGTGGAATATGCAAGTGGGTATTAGGCCAGCTTGGAGGATTTCGTTGGAAACGGGAATACGTATAAAAAGCAGACAGCAGCATTGTCAGAAACTACTTTGTGATGTTTGCATTCAAGTCACAGAATTGAACACTCCCTTTCACAGAGCAGGTTTGAAACACTCTTTTTGTAGTGTCTGTAAGTGAACATTTGGATTGCTTTCAGGCCTAAGGTGAAAAAGGAAATATCTTCCCATAAAAACTAGACAGAAGCATTCTCAGAAACTTGTTTGTGATGTGTGCCCTCTACTGACAGAGTTGAACCTTTCTTTGCAAAGAGCAGTTTTGAAACACTCTTTTTGTAGAATCTGCAAGAGGATATTTGGATAGCTTTGAGGATTTCTTGGGAAACGGGAATGTCTTCAGATAAACTCTAGACAGAAGCATTCTCAGAAACTTCTTTGGGATGTTTCAATTGAAGTCACAGTGTTGAACATTCCCTTTCACAGAGCAGGTTTGAAACACTCTTTTTGTAGTGTCTATAAGTGAACATTTGGCGTGCTTTCAGGCCTAACGTGAAAAAGGAAATATCTTCCCATAAAAACTAGACAGAAGCATTCTCAGAAACTTGTTCATGATGTGTGCCCTCTACTGACAGAGTTGAACCTTTCTTTGCAAAGAGCAGCTTTGAAACACTCTTTTTGTAGAATCTGCAAGAGGATATTTGGATAGCTTTGAGGATTTCTTTGGAAACGGGTATGTCTTCAGATAAACTCTAGACAGAAGCATTCTCAGAAACTTCTTTGGGATGTTGCATTCAAGTCACAGAGTAGAACATTCCCATTCATAGAGCAGATTTGAAACACTCTTTTTGTAGTATCTGGAAGTGGACATTTGGAGCGCTTTCAGGCCTATGTTGAAAAAGGAAATATCTTCCCATAAAAACTAGACGGAAGCATTCTCAGAAACTTATTTGTGATGTGTTTGCTCAACTAACAGGATTGAACCATCGTTTTGAAGGAGCAGTTTTGAAACACTGTTTTCGTGGAATCTGCAAGTGGATATTTGGCTAGCTTTGAGGATTTCGTTGGAAACGGGATTACATATAAAAAGGAGACAGCAGCATTCTCAGAAACTTCTTTGTGATGTCTGCATTCAATTCACAGAGTTGAGCATTCCCTTTCCTAGAGCACGTTGGAAACACTCTTTTTGTAGTATCTGGATGAGGACATTTGGAGCGCTTTCAGGCGTATGGTGAAAAAGGAAATATCTTCCCGTAAAAACTAGACAGAAGCATTCTCAGAAGTTTATTTGTGATGTGTGCCCTCAACTAACAGAGTTGAACCTTTCTTTTGATAGAGCAGTTTTGAAACACTCTTTTTGTAAAATCTGCAAGAGGATATTTGGATAGCTTTGAGGATTTCGTTGCAAACGGGAATGGCTTCATATAAACTCTAGACAGAAGCATTCTCAGAAACTTCGTTGGGATGTTTCGATTGAAGTCCCAGTGTTGAACATTCCCTTTTATAGAGCAGGTTGGAAACACTCTTTCTGCATTCCCTGGAAGTGGACATTTGGAGCGCTTTCAGGACGACGGTGAAAATGGAAATATCTTCCAAGAAAATCTAGATAGAAGCAACGTCAGAAACTTTTCTGTGATGGATCTACTCAGCTAACAGAGTTGAACCTTTCTTTTGAGAGAGCAGTTTTGCAACACTCTTTTTGTGGAATATGCAAGTGGATATTAGGGCAGCTTTGAGGATTTCGTTGGAAACGGGAATACATGTAAAAAGCAGACAGCAGCATTCTCAGAAACTTCTTTGTGATGTTTGCATTGAAGTCACAGAGTTGAACATTCCCTTTGAGAGAGCAGGTTTGAAACACGCCTTTTGTCATATCTGGAAGTGTCCATTCGGAGCGCATTCAGGCTTGTGTTGAAAAAGGAAATATCCTCCCATAAAAACTAGACAGAAGCATTCTCAGAAACTTATCTGTGATGTATGTACTCAACTAACAGAACTAAACCATCGTTTTGAAGGAGCAGTTTTGAAACACTCTTTTTGCGGAATCTGCAAGTGGATATTTGGCTAGCTGGGAGGATTTCGTTGGAAACGGGATTACATACAAAAAGCAGACAGCAGCATTCTCAGAAACTTATTTGTGATGTGTGCCCTCAACTGACAGTGCTGAACCTTTGTTTTGATAGAGCAGTTCTGAAACACACTTTTTGTAAAATCTGCAAGAGGATATTTGGATAGCTTTGAGGATTTCGTTGGAAACGGGAATGTCTTCATGTAAACTCTACACAGAAGCATTCTCAGAAACTGCTTTGGGATGTTTCAATTGAAGTCCCAGTGTTGAACATTCCCATTCATAGAGCAGGTTTGAAACACTCTTTTTGTACTATCTGGAAGTGGACATTTGGAGCGCTTTCAGGTCTACGGTGAAAAAGGAGATATCTTCCAATAAAAACTAGATAGAAGCAATGTCAGAACTTTTTTCATGATGTATCTACTCAGCAAACAGAGTTGAACCTTTCTTTTGGGAGAGCAGTTTTGAAACACTCTTTTTGTGGAATATGCAAGTGGGTATTAGGCCAGCTTGGAGGATTTCGTTGGAAACGGGAATACGTATAAAAAGCAGACAGCAGCATTGTCAGAAACTACTTTGTGATGTTTGCATTCAAGTCACAGAACTGAACACTCCCTTTCACAGAGCAGGTTTGAAACACTCTTTTTGTAGTGTCTGTAAGTGAACATTTGGATTGCTTTCAGGCCTAAGGTGAAAAAGGAAATATCTTCCCATAAAAACTAGACAGAAGCATTCTCAGAAACTTGTTTGTGATGTGTGCCCTCTACTGACAGAGTTGAACCTTTCTTTGCAAAGAGCAGTTTTGAAACACTCTTTTTGTAGAATCTGCAAGAGGATATTTGGATAGCTTTGAGGATTTCTTGGGAAACGGGAATGTCTTCAGATAAACTCTAGACAGAAGCATTCTCAGAAACTTCTTTGGGATGTTTCAATTGAAGTCACAGTGTTGAACATTCCCTTTCACAGAGCAGGTTTGAAACACTCTTTTTGTAGTGTCTATAAGTGAACATTTGGCGTGCTTTCAGGCGTAACGTGAAAAAGGAAATATCTTCCCATAAAAACTAGACAGAAGCATTCTCAGAAACTTGTTCGTGATGTGTGCCCTCTACTGACAGAGTTGAACCTTTCTTTGCAAAGAGCAGCTTTGAAACACACTTTTTGTAGAATCTGCATGAGGATATTTGGATAGCTTTGAGGATTTCGTTGGAAACGGGTATGTCTTCAGATAAACTCTAGACAGAAGCATTCTCAGAAACTTCTTTGGGATGTTGCATTCAAGTCACAGAGTAGAACATTCCCATTCATAGAGCAGATTTGAAACACTCTTTTTGTAGTATCTGGAAGTGGACATTTGGAGCGCTTTCAGGCCTATGTTGAAAAAGGAAATATCTTCCCATAAAAACTAGACGGAAGCATTCTCAGAAACTTATTTGTGATGTGTTTGCTCAACTAACAGGATTGAACCATCCTTTTGAAGGAGCAGTTTTGAAACACTGTTTTCGTGGAATCTGCAAGTGGATATTTGGCTAGCTTTGAGGATTTCGTTGGAAACGGGATTACATATAAAAAGGAGACAGCAGCATTCTCAGAAACTTCTTTGTGATGTCTGCATTCAATTTACAGAGTTGAGCATTCCCTTTCATAGAGCAGGTTGGAAACACTCTTTTTGTAGTATCTGGATGTGGACATTTGGATCGCTTTCAGGCCTATGGTGAAAAAGGAAATATCTTCCCATGAAAACTAGACAGAAGCATTCTCAGAAACTTATTTGTGATGTGTGCACTCAACTGACAGTGTTGAACCTTTGTTTTGATAGAGCAGTTCTGAAACACACTTTTTGTAAAATCTGCAAGAGGATATTTGGATAGCTTTGAGGATTTCGTTGGAAACGGGAATGTCTTCATGTAAACTCTAGACAGAAGCATTCTCAGAAACTGCTTTGGGACGTTTCAATTGAAGTCCCAGTGTTGAACATTCCCATTCATAGAGCAGGTTTGAAACACTCTTTTTGTACTATCTGGAAGTGGACATTTGGAGCGCTTTCAGGTCTACGGTGAAAAAGGAGATATCTTCCAATAAAAACTAGATAGAAGCAATGTCAGAACTTTTTTCATGATGTATCTACTCAGCAAACAGAGTTGAACCTTTCTTTTGAGAGAGCAGTTTTGAAACACTCTTTTTGTGGAATATGCAAGTGGGTATTAGGCCAGCTTGGAGGATTTCGTTGGAAACGGGAATACGTATAAAAAGCAGACAGCCAGCATTGTCAGAAACTACTTTGTGATGTTTGCATTCAAGTCACAGAATTGAACACTCCCTTTCACAGAGCAGGTTTGAAACACTCTTTTTGTAGTGTCTGTAAGTGAACATTTGGATTGCTTTCAGGCCTAAGGTGAAAAAGGAAATATCTTCCCATAAAAACTAGACAGAGCATTCTCAGAAACTTGTCTGTGATGTGTGCCCTCTACTGACAGAGTTGAACCTTTCTTTGCAAAGAGCAGTTTTGAAACACTCTTTTTGTAGAATCTGCAAGAGGATATTTGGATAGCTTTGAGGATTTCTTGGGAAACGGGAATGTCTTCAGATAAACTCTAGACAGAAGCATTCTCAGAAACTTCTTTGGGATGTTTCAATTGAAGTCACAGTGTTGAACATTCCCTTTCACAGAGCAGGTTTGAAACACTCTTTTTGTAGTGTCTATAAGTGAACATTTGGCGTGCTTTCAGGCCTAACGTGAAAAAGGAAATATCTTCCCATAAAAACTAGACAGAAGCATTCTCAGAAACTTGTTCGTGATGTGTGCCCTCTACTGACAGAGTTGAACCTTTCTTTGCAAAGAGCAGCTTTGAAACACACTTTTTGTAGAATCTGCAAGAGGATATTTGGATAGTGTTTGAGGATTTCGTTGGAAACGGGTATGTCTTCAGATAAACTCTAGACAGAAGCATTCTCAGAAACTTCTTTGGGATGTTGCATGCAAGTCACAGAGTAGAACATTCCCATTCATAGAGCAGATTTGAAACACTCTTTTTGTAGTATCTGGAAGTGGACATTTGGAGCGCTTTCAGGCCTATGTTGAAAAAGGAAATATCTTCCCATAAAAACTAGACGGAAGCATTCTCAGAAACTTATTTGTGATGTGTTTGCTCAACTAACAGGATTGAACCATCGTTTTGAAGGAGCAGTTTTGAAACACTGTTTTCGTGGAATCTGCAAGTGGATATTTGGCTAGCTTTGAGGATTTCGTTGGAAACGGGATTACATATAAAAAGGAGACAGCAGCATTCTCAGAAACTTCTTTGTGATGTCTGCATTCAAGTCACAGAGTTGAGCATTCCCTTTCATAGAGCAGGTTGGAAACACTCTTTTTGTAGTATCTGGATGAGGACATTTGGAGCGCTTTCAGGCGTATGGTGAAAAAGGAAATATCTTCCCGTAAAAACTAGACAGAAGCATTCTCAGAAATTTATTTGTGATGTGTGCCCTCAACTAACAGAGTTGAACCTTTCTTTTGATAGAGCAGTTTTGAAACACTCTTTTTGTAAAATCTGCAAGAGGATATTTGGATAGCTTTGAGGATTTCGTTGCAAACGGGAATGGCTTCATATACACTCTAGACAGAAGCATTCTCAGAAACTTCGTTGGGATGTTTCGATTGAAGTCCCAGTGTTGAACATTCCCTTTTATAGAGCAGGTTGGAAACACTCTTTCTGCATTCCCTGGAAGTGGACATTTGGAGCGCTTTCAGGACGACGGTGAAAATGGAAATATCTTCCAAGAAAATCTAGATAGAAGCAACGTCAGAAACTTTTCTGTGATGGATCTACTCAGCTAACAGAGTTGAACCTTTCTTTTGAGAGAGCAGTTTTGCAACACTCTTTTTGTGGAATATGCAAGTGGATATTAGGGCAGCTTTGAGGATTTCGTTGGAAACGGGAATACATGTAAAAAGCAGACAGCAGCATTCTCAGAAACTTCTTTGTGATGTTTGCATTGAAGTCACAGAGTTGAACATTCCCTTTGAGAGAGCAGGTTTGAAACACGCCTTTTGTCATATCTGGAAGTGTCCATTCGGAGCGCATTCAGGCTTGTGTTGAAAAAGGAAATATCCTCCCATAAAAACTAGACAGAAGCATTCTCAGAAACTTATCTGTGATGTATGTACTCAACTAACAGAACTAAACCACCGTTTTGATGGAGCAGTTTTGAAACACTCTTTTTGCGGAATCTGCAAGTGGATATTTGGCTAGCTGGGAGGATTTCGTTGGAAACGGGATTACATACAAAAAGCAGACAGCAGCATTCCCAGAAACTTATTTGTGATGTGTGCCCTCAACTGACAGTGTTGAACCTTTGTTTTGATAGAGGAGTTCTGAAACACACTTTTTGTAAAATCTGCAAGAGGATATTGGGATAGCTTTGAGGATTTCGTTGGAAACGGGAATGTCTTCATGTAAACTCTAGACAGAAGCATTCTCAGAAACTGCTTTCGGATGTTTCAATTGAAGTCACAGTGTTGAACACTCCCTTTCATAGAGCAGGTTTGAAACACTCTTTTTGTAGTGTCTATAAGTGGACATTTGTAGGGCTTTCAGGTCTACGGTGAAAAAGCAGATATCTTCCAATAAAAACTAGATAGAGCAATGTCAGAACTTTTTTCATGATGTATCTACTCAGCAAACAGAGTTGAACCTTTCTTTTGAGAGAGCAGTTTTGAAACACTCTTTTTGTGGAATATGCAAGTGGGTATTAGGCCAGCTTGGAGGATTTCGTTGGAAACGGGAATACGTATAAAAAGCAGACAGCAGCATTGTCAGAAACTACTTTGTGATGTTTGCATTCAAGTCACAGAATTGAACACTCCCTTTCACAGAGCAGGTTTGAAACACTCTTTTTGTAGTGTCTGTAAGTGAACATTTGGATTGCTTTCAGGCCTATGGTGAAAAAGGAAATATCTTCCCATAAAAACTAGACAGAAGCATTCTCAGAAACTTGTTTGTGATGTGTGCCCTCTACTGACAGAGTTGAACCTTTCTTTGCAAAGAGCAGTTTTGAAACACTCTTTTTGTAGAATCTGCAAGAGGATATTTGGATAGCTTTGAGGATTTCTTGGGAAACGGGAATGTCTTCAGATAAACTCTAGACAGAAGCATTCTCAGAAACTTCTTTGGGATGTTTCAATTGAAGTCACAGTGTTGAACATTCCCTTTCACAGAGCAGGTTTGAAACACTCTTTTTGTAGTGTCTATAAGTGAACATTTGGCGTGCTTTCAGGCCTAACGTGAAAAAGGAAATATCTTCCCATAAAAACTAGACAGAAGCATTCTCAGAAACTTGTTCATGATGTGTGCCCTCTACTGACAGAGTTGAACCTTTCTTTGCAAAGAGCAGCTTTGAAACACTCTTTTTGTAGAATCTGCAAGAGGATATTTGGATAGCTTTGAGGATTTCGTTGGAAACGGGTATGTCTTCAGATAAACTCTAGACAGAAAGCATTCTCAGAAACTTCTTTGGGATGTTGCATTCAAGTCACAGAGTAGAACATTCCCATTCATAGAGCAGATTTGAAACACTCTTTTTGTAGTATCTGGAAGTGGACATTTGGAGCGCTTTCAGGCCTATGTTGAAAAAGGAAATATCTTCCCATAAAAACTAGACGGAGCATTCTCAGAAACTTACTTGTGATGTGTTTGCTCAACTAACAGAATTGAACCATCGTTTTGAAGGAGCAGTTTTGAAACACTGTTTTCGTGGAATCTGCAAGTGGATATTTGGCTAGCTTTGAGGATTTCGTTGGAAACGGGATTACATATAAAAAGGAGACAGCAGCATTCTCAGAAACTTCTTTGTGATGTTTGCATTCAAGTCACAGAGTTGAACATTCCCTTTCATAGAGCAGGTTTGAAACACTCTTTTTGTAGTATCTGGATGTGGACATTTGGATCGCTTTCAGGCCTATGGTGAAAAAGGAAATATCTTCCCATGAAAACTAGACAGAAGCATTCTCAGAAACTTATTTGTGATGTGTGCACTCAACTGACAGTGTTGAACCTTTGTTTTGATAGAGCAGTTCTGAAACACACTTTTTGTAAAATCTGCAAGAGGATATTTGGATAGCTTTGAGGATTTCGTTGGAAACGGGAATGTCTTCATGTGAACTCTAGACAGAAGCATTCTCAGAAACTGCTTTGGGATGTTTCAATTGAAGTCCCAGTGTTGAACATTCCCATTCATAGAGCAGGTTTGAAACACTCTTTTTGTACTATCTGGAAGTGGACATTTGGAGCGCTTTCAGGTCTACGGTGAAAAAGGAGATATCTTCCAATAAAAACTAGATAGAAGCAATGTCAGAACTTTCTTCATGATGTATCTACTCAGCAAACAGAGTTGAACCTTTCTTTTGAGAGAGCAGTTTTGAAACACTCTTTTTGTGGAATATGCAAGTGGGTATTAGGCCAGCTTGGAGGATTTCGTTGGAAACGGGAATACGTATAAAAAGCAGACAGCAGCATTGTCAGAAACTACTTTGTGATGTTTGCATTCAAGTCACAGAATTGAACACTCCCTTTCACAGAGCAGGTTTGAAACACTCTTTTTGTAGTGTCTGTAAGTGAACATTTGGATTGCTTTCAGGCCTAAGGTGAAAAAGGAAATATCTTCCCATGAAAACTAGACAGAAGCATTCTCAGAAACTTGTTTGTGATGTGTGCCCTCTACTGACAGAGTTGAACCTTTCTTTGCAAAGAGCAGTTTTGAAACACTCTTTTTGTAGAATCTGCAAGAGGATATTTGGATAGCTTTGAGGATTTCTTGGGAAACGGGAATGT
The DNA here is from genome assembly GCF_000001405.40 of Homo sapiens. NCBI lineage: Eukaryota > Metazoa > Chordata > Mammalia > Primates > Hominidae > Homo > Homo sapiens. The sequence goes on from NC_000020.11 coordinate 28,227,515, forward strand.
CTTCAGATAAACTCTAGACAGAAGCATTCTCAGAAACTTCTTTGGGATGTTTCAATTGAAGTCACAGTGTTGAACATTCCCTTTCACAGAGCAGGTTTGAAACACTCTTTTTGTAGTGTCTATAAGTGAACATTTGGCGTGCTTTCAGGCCTAACGTGAAAAAGGAAATATCTTCCCATAAAAACTAGACAGAAGCATTCTCAGAAACTTGTTCGTGATGTGTGCCCTCTACTGACAGAGTTGAACCTTTCTTTGCAAAGAGCAGTTTTGAAACACTCTTTTTGTAGAATCTGCAAGAGGATATGTGGATAGCTTTGAGGATTTCGTTGGAAACGGGTATGTCTTCAGATAAACTCTAGACAGAAGCATTCTCAGAAACTTCTTTGGGATGTTTCAATTGAAGTCACAGTGTTGAACATTCCCTTTCACAGAGCAGGTTTGAAACACTCTTTTTGTAGTGTCTATAAGTGAACATTTGGCGTGCTTTCAGGCCTAACGTGAAAAAGGAAATATCTTCCCATAAAAACTAGACAGAAGCATTCTCAGAAACTTGTTCGTGATGTGTGCCCTCTACTGACAGAGTTGAACCTTTCTTTGCAAAGAGCAGCTTTGAAACACACTTTTTGTAGAATCTGCAAGAGGATATTTGGATAGCTTTGAGGATTTCGTTGGAAACGGGTATGTCTTCAGATAAACTCTAGACAGAAGCATTCTCAGAAACTTCTTTGGCATGTTGCATTCAAGTCACAGAGTAGAACATTCCCATTCATAGAGCAGATTTGAAACACTCTTTTTGTAGTATCTGGAAGTGGACATTTGGAGCGCTTTCAGGCCTATGTTGAAAAAGGAAATATCTTCCCATAAAAACTAGACGGAAGCATTCTCAGAAACTTACTTGTGATGTGTTTGCTCAACTAACAGAATTGAACCATCGTTTTGAAGGAGCAGTTTTGAAACACTGTTTTCGTGGAATCTGCAAGTGGATATTTGGCTAGCTTTGAGGATTTCGTTGGAAACGGGATTACATATAAAAAGGAGACAGCAGCATTCTCAGAAACTTCTTTGTGATGTCTGCATTCAATTCACAGAGTTGAGCATTCCCTTTCATAGAGCAGGTTGGAAACACTCTTTTTGTAGTATCTGGATGAGGACATTTGGAGCGCTTTCAGGCGTATGGTGAAAAAGGAAATATCTTCCCGTAAAAACTAGACAGAAGCATTCTCAGAAGTTTATTTGTGATGTGTGCCCTCAACTAACAGAGTTGAACCTTTCTTTTGATAGAGCAGTTTTGAAACACTCTTTTTGTAAAATCTGCAAGAGGATATTTGGATAGCTTTGAGGATTTCGTTGCAAACGAGAATGGCTTCACATAAACTCTAGGCAGAAGCATTCTCAGAAACTTCGTTGGGATGTTTCGATTGAAGTCCCAGTGTTGAACATTCCCTTTTATAGAGCAGGTTGGAAACACTCTTTCTGCTTTCCCTGGAAGTGGACATTTGGAGCGCTTTCAGGACGACGGTGAAAATGGAAATATCTTCCAAGAAAATCTAGATAGAAGCAATGTCAGAAACTTTTATGTGATGGATCTACTCAGCTAACAGAGTTGAACCTTTCTTTTGAGAGAGCAGTTTTGCAACACTCTTTTTGTGGAATATGCAAGTGGATATTAGGGCAGCTTTGAGGATTTCGTTGGAAACGGGAATACATGTAAAAAGCAGACAGCAGCATTCTCAGAAACTTCTTTGTGATGTTTGCATTGAAGTCACAGAGTTGAACATTCCCTTTGAGAGAGCAGGTTTGAAACACGCCTTTTGTCATATCTGGAAGTGTCCATTCGGAGCGCATTCAGGCTTGTGTTGAAAAAGGAAATATCCTCCCATAAAAACTAGACAGAAGCATTCTCAGAAACTTATCTGTGATGTATGTACTCAACTAACAGAACTAAACCATCGTTTTGAAGGAGCAGTTTTGAAACACTCTTTTTGCGGAATCTGCAAGTGGATATTTGGCTAGCTGGGAGGATTTCGTTGGAAACGGGATTACATACAAAAAGCAGACAGCAGCATTCTCAGAAACTTATTTGTGATGTGTGCCCTCAACTGACAGTGTTGAACCTTTGTTTTGATAGAGCAGTTCTGAAACACACTTTTTGTAAAATCTGCAAGAGGATATTTGGATAGCTTTGAGGATTTCGTTGGAAACGGGAATGTCTTCATGTAAACTCTAGACAGAAGCATTCTCAGAAACTGCTTTGGGATGTTTCAATTGAAGTCCCAGTGTTGAACATTCCCATTCATAGAGCAGGTTTGAAACACTCTTTTTGTACTATCTGGAAGTGGACATTTGGAGCGCTTTCAGGTCTACGGTGAAAAAGGAGATATCTTCCAATAAAAACTAGATAGAAGCAATGTCAGAACTTTTTTCATGATATATCTACTCAGCTAACAGAGTTGAACCTTTCTTTTGAGAGAGCAGTTTTGAAACACTCTTTGTGTGGAATATGCAAGTGGGTATTAGGCCAGCTTGGAGGATTTCGTTGGAAACGGGAATACGTATAAAAAGCAGACAGCAGCATTGTCAGAAACTACTTTGTGATGTTTGCATTCAAGTCACAGAATTGAACACTCCCTTTCACAGAGCAGGTTTGAAACACTCTTTTTGTAGTGTCTGTAAGTGAACATTTGGATTGCTTTCAGGCCTAATGTGAAAAAGGAAATATCTTCCCATAAAAACTAGACACAAGCATTCTCAGAAACTTGTTTGTGATGTGTGCCCTCTACTGACAGAGTTGAACCTTTCTTTGCAAAGAGCAGTTTTGAAACACTCTTTTTGTAGAATCTGCAAGAGGATATTTGGATAGCTTTGAGGATTTCTTGGGAAACGGGAATGTCTTCAGATAAACTCTAGACAGAAGCATTCTCAGAAACTTCTTTGGGATGTTTCAATTGAAGTCACAGTGTTGAACATTCCCTTTCACAGAGCAGGTTTGAAACACTCTTTTTGTAGTGTCTATAAGTGAACATTTGGCGTGCTTTCAGGCCTAACGTGAAAAAGGAAATATCTTCCCATAAAAACTAGACAGAAGCATTCTCAGAAACTTGTTCGTGATGTGTGCCCTCTACTGACAGAGTTGAACCTTTCTTTGCAAAGAGCAGCTTTGAAACACACTTTTTGTAGAATCTGCAAGAGGATATTTGGATAGCTTTTAGGATTTCGTTGGAAACGGGTATGTCTTCAGATAAACTCTAGACAGAAGCATTCTCAGAAACTTCTTTGGGATGTTCCATTCAAGTCACAGAGTAGAACATTCCCATTCATAGAGCAGATTTGAAACACTCTTTTTGTAGTATCTGGAAGTGGACATTTGGAGCGCTTTCAGGCCTATGTTGAAAAAGGAAATATCTTCCCATAAAAACTAGACGGAAGCATTCTCAGAAACTTACTTGTGATGTGTTTGCTCAACTAACAGAATTGAACCATCGTTTTGAAGGAGCAGTTTTGAAACACTGTTTTCGTGGAATCTGCAAGTGGATATTTGGCTAGCTTTGAGGATTTCGTTGGAAACGGGATTACATATAAAAAGGAGACAGCAGCATTCTCAGAAACTTCTTTGTGATGTCTGCATTCAAGTCACAGAGTTGAGCATTCCCTTTCATAGAGCAGGTTGGAAACACTCTTTTTGTAGTATCTGGATGAGGACATTTGGAGCGCTTTCAGGCGTATGGTGAAAAAGGAAATATCTTCCCGTAAAAACTAGACAGAAGCATTCTCAGAAGTTTATTTCTGATGTGTGCCCTCAACTAACAGAGTTGAACCTTTCTTTTGATAGAGCAGTTTTGAAACACTCTTTTTGTAAAATCTGCAAGAGGATATTTGGATAGCTTTGAGGATTTCGTTGCAAACGGGAATGGCTTCATATAAACTCTAGACAGAAGCATTCTCAGAAACTTCGTTGGGATGTTTCGATTGAAGTCCCAGTGTTGAACATTCCCTTTCATAGAGCAGGTTGGAAACACTCTTTCTGCATTCCCTGGAAGTGGACATTTGGAGCGCTTTCAGGACGACGGTGAAAATGGAAATATCTTCCAAGAAAATCTAGATAGAAGCAACGTCAGAAACTTTTCTGTGATGGATCTACTCAGCTAACAGAGTTGAACCTTTCTTTTGAGAGAGCAGTTTTGCAACACTCTTTTTGTGGAATATGCAAGTGGATATTAGGGCAGCTTTGAGGATTTCGTTGGAAACGGGAATACATGTAAAAAGCAGACAGCAGCATTCTCAGAAACTTCTTTGTGATGTTTGCATTGAAGTCACAGAGTTGAACATTCCCTTTGAGAGAGCAGGTTTGAAACACGCCTTTTGTCATATCTGGAAGTGTCCATTCGGAGCGCATTCAGGCTTGTGTTGAAAAAGGAAATATCCTCCCATAAAAACTAGACAGAAGCATTCTCAGAAACTTATCTGTGATGTATGTACTCAACTAACAGAACTAAACCATCGTTTTGAAGGAGCAGTTTTGAAACACTCTTTTTGCGGAATCTGCAAGTGGATATTTGGCTAGCTGGGAGGATTTCGTTGGAAACGGGATTACATACAAAAAGCAGACAGCAGCATTCTCAGAAACTTATTTGTGATGTGTGCCCTCAACTGACAGTGTTGAACCTTTGTTTTGATAGAGCAGTTCTGAAACACACTTTTTGTAAAATCTGCAAGAGGATATTTGGATAGCTTTGAGGATTTCGTTGGAAACGGGAATGTCTTCATGTAAACTCTAGACAGAAGCATTCTCAGAAACTGCTTTGGGATGTTTCAATTGAAGTCCCAGTGTTGAACATTCCCATTCATAGAGCAGGTTTGAAACACTCTTTTTGTACTATCTGGAAGTGGACATTTGGAGCGCTTTCAGGTCTACGGTGAAAAAGGAGATATCTTCCAATAAAAACTAGATAGAAGCAATGTCAGAACTTTTTTCATGATGTATCTACTCAGCTAACAGAGTTGAACCTTTCTTTTGAGAGAGCAGTTTTGAAACACTCTTTTTGTGGAATATGCAAGTGGGTATTAGGCCAGCTTGGAGGATTTCGTTGGAAACGGGAATACGTATAAAAAGCAGACAGCAGCATTGTCAGAAACTACTTTGTGATGTTTGCATTCAAGTCACAGAATTGAACACTCCCTTTCACAGAGCAGGTTTGAAACACTCTTTTTGTAGTGTCTATAAGTGAACATTTGGCGTGCTTTCAGGCCTAAGGTGAAAAAGGAAATATCTTCCCATAAAAACTAGACAGAAGCATTCTCAGAAACTTGTTTGTGATGTGTGCCCTCTACTGACAGAGTTGAACCTTTCTTTGCAAAGAGCAGCTTTGAAACACTCTTTTTGTAGAATCTGCAAGAGGATATGTGGATAGCTTTGAGGATTTCGTTGGAAACGGGAATGTCTTCAGATAAACTCTAGACAGAAGCATTCTCAGAAACTTCTTTGGGATGTTTCAATTGAAGTCACAGTGTTGAACATTCCCTTTCACAGAGCAGGTTTGAAACACTCTTTTTGTAGTGTCTATAAGTGAACATTTGGCGTGCTTTCAGGCCTAACGTGAAAAAGGAAATATCTTCCCATAAAAACTAGACAGAAGCATTCTCAGAAACTTGTTCATGATGTGTGCCCTCTACTGACAGAGTTGAACCTTTCTTTGCAAAGAGCAGCTTTGAAACACTCTTTTTGTAGAATCTGCAAGAGGATATTTGGATAGCTTGGAGGATTTCGTTGGAAACGGGTATGTCTTCAGATAAACTCTAGACAGAAGCATTCTCAGAAACTTCTTTGGGATGTTGCATTCAAGTCACAGAGTAGAACATTCCCATTCATAGAGCAGATTTGAAACACTCTTTTTGTAGTATCTGGAAGTGGACATTTGGAGCGCTTTCAGGCCTATGTTGAAAAAGGAAATATCTTCCCATAAAAACTAGACGGAAGCATTCTCAGAAACTTATTTGTGATGTGTTTGCTCAACTAACAGGATTGAACCATCGTTTTGAAGGAGCAGTTTTGAAACACTGTTTTCGTGGAATCTGCAAGTGGATATTTGGCTAGCTTTGAGGATTTCGTTGGAAACGGGATTACATATAAAAAGGAGACAGCAGCATTCTCAGAAACCTCTTTGTGATGTCTGCATTCAAGTCACAGAGTTGAGCATTCCCTTTCATAGAGCAGGTTGGAAACACTCTTTTTGTAGTATCTGGATGAGGACATTTGGAGCGCTTTCAGGCGTATGGTGAAAAAGGAAATATCTTCCCGTAAAAACTAGACAGAAGCATTCTCAGAAATTTATTTGTGATGTGTGCCCTCAACTAACAGAGTTGAACCTTTCTTTTGATAGAGCAGTTTTGAAACACTCTTTTTGTAAAATCTGCAAGAGGATATTTGGATAGCTTTGAGGATTTCATTGCAAACGGGAATGGCTTCATATAAACTCTAGACAGAAGCATTCTCAGAAACTTCGTTGGGATGTTTCGATTGAAGTCCCAGTGTTGAACATTCCCTTTTATAGAGCAGGTTGGAAACACTCTTTCTGCATTCCCTGGAAGTGGACATTTGGAGCGCTTTCAGGACGACGGTGAAAATGGAAATATCTTCCAAGAAAATCTAGATAGAAGCAACGTCAGAAACTTTTCTGTGATGGATCTACTCAGCTAACAGAGTTGAACCTTTCTTTTGAGAGAGCAGTTTTGCAACACTCTTTTTGTGGAATATGCAAGTGGATATTAGGGCAGCTTTGAGGATTTCGTTGGAAACGGGAATACATGTAAAAAGCAGACAGCAGCATTCTCAGAAACTTCTTTGTGATGTTTGCATTGAAGTCACAGAGTTGAACATTCCCTTTGAGAGAGCAGGTTTGAAACACGCCTTTTGTCATATCTGGAAGTGTCCATTCGGAGCGCATTCAGGCTTGTGTTGAAAAAGGAAATATCCTCCCATAAAAACTAGACAGAAGCATTCTCAGAAACTTATTTGTGATGTATGTACTCAAGTAACAGAACTAAACCATCGTTTTGAAGGAGCAGTTTTGAAACACTCTTTTTGCGGAATCTGCAAGTGGATATTTGGCTAGCTGGGAGGATTTCGTTGGAAACGGGATTACATACAAAAAGCAGACAGCAGCATTCTCAGAAACTTATTTGTGATGTGTGCCCTCAACTGACAGTGTTGAACCTTTGTTTTGATAGAGCAGTTCTGAAACACACTTTTTGTAAAATCTGCAAGAGGATATTTGGATAGCTTTGAGGATTTCGTTGGAAACGGGAATGTCTTCATGTAAACTCTAGACAGAAGCATTCTCAGAAACTGCTTTGGGATGTTTCAATTGAAGTCCCAGTGTTGAACATTCCCATTCATAGAGCAGGTTTGAAACACTCTTTTTGTACTATCTGGAAGTGGACATTTGGAGCGCTTTCAGGTCTACGGTGAAAAAGGAGATATCTTCCAATAAAAACTAGATAGAAGCAATGTCAGAACTTTTTTCATGATGTATCTACTCAGCAAACAGAGTTGAACCTTTCTTTTGAGAGAGCAGTTTTGAAACACTCTTTTTGTGGAATATGCAAGTGGGTATTAGGCCAGCTTGGAGGATTTCGTTGGAAACGGGAATACGTATAAAAAGCAGACAGCAGCATTGTCAGAAACTACTTTGTGATGTTTGCATTCAAGTCACAGAATTGAACACTCCCTTTCACAGAGCAGGTTTGAAACACTCTTTTTGTAGTGTCTGTAAGTGAACATATGGATTGCTTTCAGGCCTAAGGTGAAAAAGGAAATATCTTCCCATAAAAACTAGACAGAAGCATTCTCAGAAACTTGTTTGTGATGTGTGCCCTCTACTGACAGAGTTGAACCTTTCTTTGCAAAGAGCAGTTTTGAAACACTCTTTTTGTAGAATCTGCAAGAGGATATTTGGATAGCTTTGAGGATTTCTTGGGAAACGGGAATGTCTTCAGATAAACTCTAGACAGAAGCATTCTCAGAAACTTCTTTGGGATGTTTCAATTGAAGTCACAGTGTTGAACATTCCCTTTCACAGAGCAGGTTTGAAACACTCTTTTTGTAGTGTCTATAAGTGAACATTTGGCGTGCTTTCAGGCCTAACGTGAAAAAGGAAATATCTTCCCATAAAAACTAGACAGAAGCATTCTCAGAAACTTATTCATGATGTGTGCCCTCTACTGACAGAGTTGAACCTTTCTTTGCAAAGAGCAGCTTTGAAACACTCTTTTTGTAGAATCTGCAAGAGGATATTTGGATAGCTTTGAGGATTTCGTTGGAAACGGGTATGTCTTCAGATAAACTCTAGACAGAAGCATTCTCAGAAACTTCTTTGGGATGTTGCATTCAAGTCACAGAGTAGAACATTCCCATTCATAGAGCAGATTTGAAACACTCTTTTTGTAGTATCTGGAAGTGGACATTTGGAGCGCTTTCAGGCCTATGTTGAAAAAGGAAATATCTTCCCATAAAAACTAGACGGAAGCATTCTCAGAAACTTACTTGTGATGTGTTTGCTCAACTAACAGAATTGAACCATCGTTTTGAAGGAGCAGTTTTGAAACACTGTTTTCGTGGAATCTGCAAGTGGATATTTGGCTAGCTTTGAGGATTTCGTTGGAAACGGGATTACATATAAAAAGGAGACAGCAGCATTCTCAGAAACTTCTTTGTGATGTTTGCATTCAAGTCACAGAGTTGAACATTCCCTTTCATAGAGCAGGTTTGAAACACTCTTTTTGTAGTATCTGGATGTGGACATTTGGATCGCTTTCAGGCCTATGGTGAAAAAGGAAATATCTTCCCATGAAAACTAGACAGAAGCACTCTCAGAAACTTGTTTGTGATGTGTGCCCTCTACTGACAGAGTTGAACCTTTCTTTGCAAAGAGCAGTTTTGAAACACTCTTTTTGTAGAATCTGCAAGAGGATATTTGGATAGCTTTGAGGATTTCTTGGGAAACGGGAATGTCTTCAGATAAACTCTAGACAGAAGCATTCTCAGAAACTTCTTTGGGATGTTTCAATTGAAGTCACAGTGTTGAACATTCCCTTTCACAGAGCAGGTTTGAAACACTCTTTTTGTAGTGTCTATAAGTGAACATTTGGCGTGCTTTCAGGCCTAACGTGAAAAAGGAAATATCTTCCCATAAAAACTAGACAGAAGCATTCTCAGAAACTTGTTCTTGATGTGTCCCCTCTACTGACAGAGTTGAACCTTTCTTTGCAAAGAGCAGCTTTGAAACACTCTTTTTGTAGAATCTGCAAGAGGATATTTGGATAGCTTGGAGGATTTCGTTGGAAACGGGTATGTCTTCAGATAAACTCTAGACAGAAGCATTCTCAGAAACTTCTTTGGGATGTTGCATTCAAGTCACAGAGTAGAACATTCCCATTCATAGAGCAGATTTGAAACACTCTTTTTGTAGTATCTGGAAGTGGACATTTGGAGCGCTTTCAGGCCTATGTTGAAAAAGGAAATATCTTCCCATAAAAACTAGACGGAAGCATTCTCCGAAACTTATTTGTGATGTGTTTGCTCAACTAACAGGATTGAACCATCGTTTTGAAGGAGCAGTTTTGAAACACTGTTTTCGTGGAATCTGCAAGTGGATATTTGGCTAGCTTTGAGGATTTCGTTGGAAACGGGATTACATGTAAAAAGGAGACAGCAGCATTCTCAGAAACTTCTTTGTGATGTCTGCATTCAATTCACAGAGTTGAGCATTCCCTTTCATAGAGCACGTTGGAAACACTCTTTTTGTAGTATCTGGATGAGGACATTTGGAGCGCTTTCAGGCCTATGGTGAAAAAGGAAATATCTTCCCGTAAAAACTAGACAGAAGCATTCTCAGAAGTTTATTTGTGATGTGTGCCCTCAACTAACAGAGTTGAACCTTTCTTTTGATAGAGCAGTTTTGAAACACTCTTTTTGTAAAATCTGCAAGAGGATATTTGGATAGCTTTGAGGATTTCGTTGCAAACGGGAATGGCTTCATATAAACTCTAGACAGAAGCATTCTCAGAAACTTCGTTGGGATGTTTCGATTGAAGTCCCAGTGTTGAACATTCCCTTTTATAGAGCAGGTTGGAAACACTCTTTCTGCATTCCCTGGAAGTGGACATTTGGAGCGCTTTCAGGACGACGGTGAAAATGGAAATATCTTCCAAGAAAATCTAGATAGAAGCAACGTCAGAAACTTTTCTGTGATGGATCTACTCAGCTAACAGAGTTGAACCTTTCTTTTGAGAGAGCAGTTTTGCAACACTCTTTTTGTGGAATATGCAAGTGGATATTAGGGCAGCTTTGAGGATTTCGTTGGAAACGGGAATACATGTAAAAAGCAGACAGCAGCATTCTCAGAAACTTCTTTGTGATGTTTGCATTGAAGTCACAGAGTTGAACATTCCCTTTGAGAGAGCAGGTTTGAAACACGCCTTTTGTCATATCTGGAAGTGTCCATTCGGAGCGCATTCAGGCTTGTGTTGAAAAAGGAAATATCCTCCCATAAAAACTAGACAGAAGCATTCTCAGAAACTTCTTTGTGATGTCTGCATTCAATTCACAGAGTTGAGCATTCCCTTTCATAGAGCAGGTTGGAAACACTCTTTTTGTAGTATCTGGATGTGGACATTTGGATCGCTTTTAGGCCTATGGTGAAAAAGGAAATATCTTCCCATGAAAACTAGACAGAAGCATTCTCAGAAACTTATTTGTGATGTGTGCACTCAACTGACAGTGTTGAACCTTTGCTTTGATAGAGCAGTTCTGAAACACACTTTTTGTAAAATCTGCAAGAGGATATTTGGATAGCTTTGAGGATTTCGTTGGAAACGGGAATGTCTTCATGTAAACTCTAGACAGAAGCATTCTCAGAAACTGCTTTGGGATGTTTCAATTGAAGTCCCAGTGTTGAACATTCCCATTCATAGAGCAGGTTTGAAACACTCTTTTTGTACTATCTGGAAGTGGACATTTGGAGCGCTTTCAGGTCTACGGTGAAAAAGGAGATATCTTCCAATAAAAACTAGATAGAAGCAATGTCAGAACTTTTTTCATGATGTATCTACTCAGCAAACAGAGTTGAACCTTTCTTTTGAGAGAGCAGTTTTGAAACACTCTTTTTGTGGAATATGAAAGTGGGTATTAGGCCAGCTTGGAGGATTTCGTTGGAAACGGGAATACGTATAAAAAGCAGACAGCAGCATTGTCAGAAACTACTTTGTGATGTTTGCATTCAAGTCACAGAACTGAACACTCCCTTTCACAGAGCAGGTTTGAAACACTCTTTTTGTAGTGTCTGTAAGTGAACATTTGGATTGCTTTCAGGCCTAAGGTGAAAAAGGAAATATCTTCCCATAAAAACTAGACAGAAGCATTCTCAGAAACTTGTTTGTGATGTGTGTCCTCTACTGACAGAGTTGAACCTTTCTTTGCAAAGAGCAGTTTTGAAACACTCTTTTTGTAGAATCTGCAAGAGGATATTTGGATAGCTTTGAGGATTTCTTGGGAAACGGGAATGTCTTCAGATAAACTCTAGACAGAAGCATTCTCAGAAACTTCTTTGGGATGTTTCAATTGAAGTCACAGTGTTGAACATTCCCTTTCACAGAGCAGGTTTGAAACACTCTTTTTGTAGTGTCTATAATTGAACATTTGGCGTGCTTTCAGGCCTAACGTGAAAAAGGAAATATCTTCCCATAAAAACTAGACAGAAGCATTCTCAGAAACTTGTTTGTGATGTGTGCCCTCTACTGACAGAGTTGAACCTTTCTTTGCAAAGAGCAGCTTTGAAACACTCTTTTTGTAGAATCTGCAAGAGGATATGTGGATAGCTTTGAGGATTTCGTTGGAAACGGGTATGTCTTCAGATAAACTCTAGACAGAAGCATTCTCAGAAACTTCTTTGGGATGTTGCATTCAAGTCACAGAGTAGAACATTCCCATTCATAGAGCAGATTTGAAACACTCTTTTTGTAGTATCTGGAAGTGGACATTTGGAGCGCTTTCAGGCCTATGTTGAAAAAGGAAATATCTTCCCATAAAAACTAGACGGAAGCATTCTCAGAAACTTACTTGTGATGTGTTTGCTCAACTAACAGAATTGAACCATCGTTTTAAAGGAGCAGTTTTGAAACACTGTTTTCGTGGAATCTGCAAGTGGATATTTGGCTAGCTTTGAGGATTTCGTTGGAAACGGGATTACATATAAAAAGGAGACAGCAGCATTCTCAGAAACTTCTTTATGATGTCTGCATTCAAGTCACAGAGTTGAGCATTCCCTTTCATAGAGCAGGTTGGAAACACTCTTTGTGTAGTATCTGGATGAGGACATTTGGAGCGCTTTCAGGCGTATGGTGAAAAAGGAAATATCTTCCCGTAAAAACTAGACAGAAGCATTCTCAGAAGTTTATTTGTGATGTGTGCCCTCAACTAACAGAAGTTGAACCTTTCTTTTGATAGAGCAGTTTTGAAACACTCTTTTTGTAAAATCTGCAAGAGGATATTTGGATAGCTTTGAGGATTTCGTTGCAAACGGGAATGGCTTCATATAAACTCTAGACAGAAGCATTCTCAGAAACTTCGTTGGGATGTTTCGATTGAAGTCCCAGTGTTGAACATTCCCTTTTATAGAGCAGGTTGGAAACACTCTTTCTGCATTCCCTGGAAGTGGACATTTGGAGCGCTTTCAGGACGACGGTGAAAATGGAAATATCTTCCAAGAAAATCTAGATAGAAGCAATGTCAGAAACTTTTATGTGATGGATCTACTCAGCTAACAGAGTTGAAGCTTTCTTTTGAGAGAGCAGTTTTGCAACACTCTTTTTGTGGAATATGCAAGTGGATATTAGGGCAGCTTTGAGGATTTCGTTGGAAACGGGAATACATGTAAAAAGCAGACAGCAGCATTCTCAGAAACTTCTTTGTGATGTTTGCATTGAAGTCACAGAGTTGAACATTCCCTTTGAGAGAGCAGGTTTGAAACACGCCTTTTGTCATATCTGGAAGTGTCCATTCGGAGCGCATTCAGGCTTGTGTTGAAAAAGGAAATATCCTCCCATAAAAACTAGACAGAAGCATTCTCAGAAACTTATCTGTGATGTATGTACTCAACTAACAGAACTAAACCATCGTTTTGAAGGAGCAGTTTTGAAACACTCTTTTTGCGGAATCTGCAAGTGGATATTTGGCTAGCTGGGAGGATTTCGTTGGAAACGGGATTACATACAAAAAGCAGACAGCAGCATTCTCAGAAACTTATTTGTGATGTGTGCCCTCAACTGACAGTGTTGAACCTTTGTTTTGATAGAGCAGTTCTGAAACACACTTTTTGTAAAATCTGCAAGAGGATATTTGGATAGCTTTGAGGATTTCGTTGGAAACGGGAATGTCTTCATGTAAACTCTAGACAGAAGCATTCTCAGAAACTGCTTTGGGATGTTTCAATTGAAGTCCCAGTGTTGAACATTCCCATTCATAGAGCAGGTTTGAAACACTCTTTTTGTACTATCTGGAAGTGGACATTTGGAGCGCTTTCAGGTCTACGGTGAAAAAGGAGATATCTTCCAATAAAAACTAGATAGAAGCAATGTCAGAACTTTTTTCATGATGTATCTACTCAGCAAACAGAGTTGAACCTTTCTTTTGAGGGAGCAGTTTTGAAACACTATTTTTGTGGAATATGCAAGTGGGTATTAGGCCAGCTTGGAGGATTTCGTTGGAAACGGGAATACGTATAAAAAGCAGACAGCAGCATTGTCAGAAACTACTTTGTGATGTTTGCATTCAAGTCACAGAATTGAACACTCCCTTTCACAGAGCAGGTTTGAAACACTCTTTTTGTAGTGTCTGTAAGTGAACATTTGGATTGCTTTCAGGCCTAAGGTGAAAAAGGAAATATCTTCCCATAAAAACTAGACAGAAGCATTCTCAGAAACTAGTTTGTGATGTGTGCCCTCTACTGACAGAGTTGAACCTTTCTTTGCAAAGAGCAGTTTTGAAACACTCTTTTTGTAGAATCTGCAAGAGGATATTTGGATAGCTTTGAGGATTTCTTGGGAAACGGGAATGTCTTCAGATAAACTCTAGACAGAAGCATTCTCAGAAACTTCTTTGGGATGTTTCAATTGAAGTCACAGTGTTGAACATTCCCTTTCACAGAGCAGGTTTGAAACACTCTTTTTGTAGTGTCTATAAGTGAACATTTGGCGTGCTTTCAGGCCTAACGTGAAAAAGGAAATATCTTCCCATAAAAACTAGACAGAAGCATTCTCAGAAACTTGTTCGTGATGTGTGCCCTCTACTGACAGAGTTGAACCTTTCTTTGCAAAGAGCAGCTTTGAAACACTCTTTTTGTAGAATCTGCAAGAGGATATTTGGATAGCTTTGAGGATTTCGTTGGAAACGGGTATGTCTTCAGATAAACTCTAGACAGAAGCATTCTCAGAAACTTCTTTGGGATGTTTCAATTGAAGTCACAGTGTTGAACATTCCCTTTCACAGAGCAGGTTTGAAACACTCTTTTTGTAGTGTCTATAAGTGAACATTTGGCGTGCTTTCAGGCGTAACGTGAAAAAGGAAATATCTTCCCATAAAAACTAGACGGAAGCATTCTCAGAAACTTGTTCGTGATGTGTGCCCTCTACTGACAGAGTTGAACCCTTTCTTTGCAAAGAGCAGCTTTGAAACACACTTTTTGTAGAATCTGCAAGAGGATATTTGGATAGCTTTGAGGATTTCGTTGGAAACGGGTATGTCTTCAGATAAACTCTAGACAGAAGCATTCTCAGAAACTTCTTTGGGATGTTGCATTCAAGTCACAGAGTAGAACATTCCCATTCATAGAGCAGATTTGAAACACTCTTTTTGTAGTATCTGGAAGTGGACATTTGGAGCGCTTTCAGGCCTATGTTGAAAAAGGAAATATCTTCCCATAAAAACTAGACGGAAGCATTCTCAGAAACTTACTTGTGATGTGTTTGCTCAACTAACAGAATTGAACCATCGTTTTGAAGGAGCAGTTTTGAAACACTGTTTTCGTGGAATCTGCAAGTGGATATTTGGCTAGCTTTGAGGATTTCGTTGGAAACGGGATTACATATAAAAAGGAGACAGCAGCATTCTCAGAAACTTCTTTGTGATGTTTGCATTCAAGTCACAGAGTTGAACATTCCCTTTCATAGAGCAGGTTTGAAACACTCTTTTTGTAGTATCTGGATGTGGACATTTGGATCGCTTTCAGGCCTATGGTGAAAAAGGAAATATCTTCCCATGAAAACTAGACAGAAGCATTCTCAGAAACTTATTTGTGATGTGTGCCCTCAACTGACAGTGTTGAACCTTTGTTTTGATAGAGCAGTTCTGAAACACACTTTTTGTAAAATCTGCAAGAGGATATTTGGATAGCTTTGAGGATTTCGTTGGAAACGGGAATGTCTTCTTGTAAACTCTAGACAGAAGCATTCTCAGAAACTGCTTTGGGATGTTTCAATTGAAGTCCCAGTGTTGAACATTCCCTTTCATAGAGCAGGTTTGAAACACTCTTTTTGTACTATCTGGAAGTGGACATTTGGAGCGCTTTCAGGTCTACGGTGAAAAAGGAGATATCTTCCAATAAAAACTAGATAGAAGCAATGTCAGAACTTTTTTCATGATGTATCTACTCAGCAAACAGAGTTGAACCTTTCTTTTGAGAGAGCAGTTTTGAAACACTCTTTTTGTGGAATATGCAAGTGGGTATTTGGCCAGCTTGGAGGATTTCGTTGGAAACGGGAATACGTATAAAAAGCAGACAGCCAGCATTGTCAGAAAACTACTTTGTGATGTTTGCATTCAAGTCACAGAATTGAACACTCCCTTTCACAGAGCAGGTTTGAAACACTCTTTTTGTAGTGTCTGTAAGTGAACATTTGGATTGCTTTCAGGCCTAAGGTGAAAAAGGAAATATCTTCCCATAAAAATTAGACAGAAGCATTCTCAGAAACTTGTTTGTGATGTGTGCCCTCTACTGACAGAGTTGAACCTTTCTTTGCAAAGAGCAGTTTTGAAACACTCTTTTTGTAGAATCTGCAAGAGGATATTTGGATAGCTTTGAGGATTTCTTGGGAAACGGGAATGTCTTCAGATAAACTCTAGACAGAAGCATTCTCAGAAACTTCTTTGGGATGTTTCAATTGAAGTCACAGTGTTGAACATTCCCTTTCACAGAGCAGGTTTGAAACACTCTTTTTGTAGTGTCTATAATTGAACATTTGGCGTGCTTTCAGGCCTAACGTGAAAAAGGAAATATCTTCCCATAAAAACTAGACAGAAGCATTCTCAGAAACTTGTTCGTGATGTGTGCCCTCTACTGACAGAGTTGAACCTTTCTTTGCAAAGAGCAGCTTTGAAACACTCTTTTTGTAGAATCTGCAAGAGGATATGTGGATAGCTTTGAGGATTTCGTTGGAAACGGGTATGTCTTCAGATAAACTCTAGACAGAAGCATTCTCAGAAACTTCTTTGGGATGTTTCAATTGAAGTCACAGTGTTGAACATTCCCTTTCACAGAGCAGGTTTGAAACACTCTTTTTGTAGTGTCTATAAGTGAACATTTGGCGTGCTTTCAGGCCTAACGTGAAAAAGGAAATATCTTCCCATAAAAACTAGACAGAAGCATTCTCAGAAACTTGTTCGTGATGTGTGCCCTCTACTGACAGAGTTGAACCTTTCTTTGCAAAGAGCAGCTTTGAAACACACTTTTTGTAGAATCTGCATGAGGATATTTGGATAGCTTTGAGGATTTCGTTGGAAACGGGTATGTCTTCAGATAAACTCTAGACAGAAGCATTCTCAGAAACTTCTTTGGGATGTTGCATGCAAGTCACAGAGTAGAACATTCCCATTCATAGAGCAGATTTGAAACACTCTTTTTGTAGTATCTGGAAGTGGACATTTGGAGCGCTTTCAGGCCTATGTTGAAAAAGGAAATATCTTCCCATAAAAACTAGACGGAAGCATTCTCAGAAACTTATTTGTGATGTGTTTGCTCAACTAACAGGATTGAACCATCCTTTTGAAGGAGCAGTTTTGAAACACTGTTTTCGTGGAATCTGCAAGTGGATATTTGGCTAGCTTTGAGGATTTCGTTGGAAACGGGATTACATATAAAAAGGAGACAGCAGCATTCTCAGAAACTTCTTTGTGATGTTTGCATTCAAGTCACAGAGTTGAACATTCCCTTTCATAGAGCAGGTTTGAAACACTCTTTTTGTAGTATCTGGATGTGGACATTTGGATCGCTTTCAGGCCTATGGTGAAAAAGGAAATATCTTCCCATGAAAACTAGACAGAAGCATTCTCAGAAACTTATTTGTGATGTGTGCCCTCAACTGACAGTGTTGAACCTTTGTTTTGATAGAGCAGTTCTGAAACACACTTTTTGTAAAATCTGCAAGAGGATATTTGGATAGATTTGAGGATTTCGTTGGAAACGGGAATGTCTTCATGTAAACTCTACACAGAAGCATTCTCAGAAACTGCTTTGGGATGTTTCAATTGAAGTCCCAGTGTTGAACATTCCCATTCATAGAGCAGGTTTGAAACACTCTTTTTGTACTATCTGGAAGTGGACATTTGGAGCGCTTTCAGGTCTACGGTGAAAAAGGAGATATCTTCCAATAAAAACTAGATAGAAGCAATGTCAGAACTTTTTTCATGATGTATCTACTCAGCAAACAGAGTTGAACCTTTCTTTTGAGAGAGCAGTTTTGACACTGTCTTTGTGGAATATGCAAGTGGGTATTAGGCCAGCTTGGAGGATTTCGTTGGAAACGGGAATACGTATAAAAAGCAGACAGCAGCATTGTCAGAAACTACTTTGTGATGTTTGCATTCAAGTCACAGAATTGAACACTCCCTTTCACAGAGCAGGTTTGAAACACTCTTTTTGTAGTGTCTGTAAGTGAACATTTGGATTGCTTTCAGGCCTAAGGTGAAAAAGGAAATATCTTCCCATAAAAACTAGACAGAAGCATTCTCAGAAACTTGTTTGTGATGTGTGCCCTCTACTGACAGAGTTGAACCTTTCTTTGCAAAGAGCAGTTTTGAAACACTCTTTTTGTAGAATCTGCAAGAGGATATTTGGATAGCTTTGAGGATTTCTTGGGAAACGGGAATGTCTTCAGATAAACTCTAGACAGAAGCATTCTCAGAAACTTCTTTGGGATGTTTCAATTGAAGTCACAGTGTTGAACATTCCCTTTCACAGAGCAGGTTTGAAACACTCTTTTTGTAGTGTCTATAAGTGAACATTTGGCGTGCTTTCAGGCCTAACGTGAAAAAGGAAATATCTTCCCATAAAAACTAGACAGAAGCATTCTCAGAAACTTGTTTGTGATGTGTGCCCTCTACTGACAGAGTTGAACCTTTCTTTGCAAAGAGCAGCTTTGAAACACTCTTTTTGTAGAATCTGCAAGAGGATATTTGGATAGCTTTGAGGATTTCGTTGGAAACGGGTATGTCTTCACATAAACTCTAGACAGAAGCATTCTCAGAAACTTCTTTGGGATGTTGCATTCAAGTCACAGAGTAGAACATTCCCATTCATAGAGCAGATTTGAAACACTCTTTTTGTAGTATCTGGAAGTGGACATTTGGAGCGCTTTCAGGCCTATGTTGAGAAACGAAATATCTTCCCATAAAAACTAGACGGAAGCATTCTCAGAAACTTATTTGTGATGTGTTTGCTCAACTAACAGGATTGAACCATCGTTTTGAAGGAGCAGTTTTGAAACACTGTTTTCGTGGAATCTGCAAGTGGATATTTGGCTAGCTTTGAGGATTTCGTTGGAAACGGGATTACATATAAAAAGGAGACAGCAGCATTCTCAGAAACCTCTTTGTGATGTCTGCATTCAAGTCACAGAGTTGAGCATTCCCTTTCATAGAGCAGGTTGGAAACACTCTTTTTGTAGTATCTGGATGAGGACATTTGGAGCGCTTTCAGGCGTATGGTGAAAAAGGAAATATCTTCCCGTAAAAACTAGACAGAAGCATTCTCAGAAGTTTATTTGTGATGTGTGCCCTCAACTAACAGAGTTGAACCTTTCTTTTGATAGAGCAGTTTTGAAACACTCTTTTTGTAAAATCTGCAAGAGGATATTTGGATAGCTTTGAGGATTTCGTTGCAAACGGGAATGGCTTCATATAAACTCTAGACAGAAGCATTCTCAGAAACTTCGTTGGGATGTTTCGATTGAAGTCCCAGTGTTGAACATTCCCTTTTATAGAGCAGGTTGGAAACACTCTTTCTGCATTCCCTGGAAGTGGACATTTGGAGCGCTTTCAGGACGACGGTGAAAATGGAAATATCTTCCAAGAAAATCTAGATAGAAGCAATGTCAGAAACTTTTATGTGATGGATCTACTCAGCTAACAGAGTTGAACCTTTCTTTTGAGAGAGCAGTTTTGCAACACTCTTTTTGTGGAATATGCAAGTGGATATTAGGGCAGCTTTGAGGATTTCGTTGGAAACGGGAATACATGTAAAAAGCAGACAGCAGCATTCTCAGAAACTTCTTTGTGATGTTTGCATTGAAGTCACAGAGTTGAACATTCCCTTTGAGAGAGCAGGTTTGAAACACGCCTTTTGTCATATCTGGAAGTGTCCATTCGGAGCGCATTCAGGCTTGTGTTGAAAAAGGAAATATCCTCCCATAAAAACTAGACAGAAGCATTCTCAGAAACTTATCTGTGATGTATGTACTCAACTAACAGAACTAAACCATCGTTTTGAAGGAGCAGTTTTGAAACACTCTTTTTGCGGAATCTGCAAGTGGATATTTGGCTAGCTGGGAGGATTTCGTTGGAAACGGGATTACATACAAAAAGCAGACAGCAGCATTCTCAGAAACTTATTTGTGATGTGTGCCCTCAACTGACAGTGTTGAACCTTTGTTTTGATAGAGCAGTTCTGAAACACACTTTTTGTAAAATCTGCAAGAGGATATTTGGATAGCTTTGAGGATTTCGTTGGAAACGGGAATGTCTTCATGTAAACTCTACACAGAAGCATTCTCAGAAACTGCTTTGGGATGTTTCAATTGAAGTCCCAGTGTTGAACATTCCCATTCATAGAGCAGGTTTGAAACACTCTTTTTGTACTATCTGGAAGTGGACATTTGGAGCGCTTTCAGGTCTACGGTGAAAAAGGAGATATCTTCCAATAAAAAGTAGATAGAAGCAATGTCAGAACTTTTTTCATGATGTATCTACTCAGCTAACAGAGTTGAACCTTTCTTTTGAGAGAGCAGTTTTGAAACACTCTTTTTGTGGAATATGCAAGTGGGTATTAGGCCAGCTTGGAGGATTTCGTTGGAAACGGGAATACGTATAAAAAGCAGACAGCAGCATTGTCAGAAACTACTTTGTGATGTTTGCATTCAAGTCACAGAATTGAACACTCCCTTTCACAGAGCAGGTTTGAAACACTCTTTTTGTAGTGTCTGTAAGTGAACATATGGATTGCTTTCAGGCCTAAGGTGAAAAAGGAAATATCTTCCCATAAAAACTAGACAGAAGCATTCTCAGAAACTTGTTTGTGATGTGTGCCCTCTACTGACAGAGTTGAACCTTTCTTTGCAAAGAGCAGTTTTGAAACACTCTTTTTGTAGAATCTGCAAGAGGATATTTGGATAGCTTTGAGGATTTCTTGGGAAACGGGAATGTCTTCAGATAAACTCTAGACAGAAGCATTCTCAGAAACTTCTTTGGGATGTTTCAATTGAAGTCACAGTGTTGAACATTCCCTTTCACAGAGCAGGTTTGAAACACTCTTTTTGTAGTGTCTATAAGTGAACATTTGGCGTGCTTTCAGGCCTAACGTGAAAAAGGAAATATCTTCCCATAAAAACTAGACAGAAGCATTCTCAGAAACTTGTTCGTGATGTGTGCCCTCTACTGACAGAGTTGAACCTTTCTTTGCAAAGAGCAGCTTTGAAACACACTTTTTGTAGAATCTGCAAGAGGATATTTGGATAGCTTTGAGGATTTCGTTGGAAACGAGTATGTCTTCAGATAAACTCTAGACAGAAGCATTCTCAGAAACTTCTTTGGGATGTTGCATTCAAGTCACAGAGTAGAACATTCCCATTCATAGAGCAGATTTGAAACACTCTTTTTGTAGTATCTGGAAGTGGACATTTGGAGCGCTTTCAGGCCTATGTTGAAAAAGGAAATATCTTCCCATAAAAACTAGACGGAAGCATTCTCAGAAACTTATTTGTGATGTGTTTGCTCAACTAACAGGATTGAACCATCGTTTTGAAGGAGCAGTTTTGAAACACTGTTTTCGTGGAATCTGCAAGTGGATATTTGGCTAGCTTTGAGGATTTCGTTGGAAACGGGATTACATATAAAAAGGAGACAGCAGCATTCTCAGAAACTTCTTTGTGATGTTTGCATTCAAGTCACAGAGTTGAACATTCCCTTTCATAGAGCAGGTTTGAAACACTCTTTTTGTAGTATCTGGATGTGGACATTTGGATCGCTTTCAGGCCTATGGTGAAAAAGGAAATATCTTCCCATGAAAACTAGACAGAAGCATTCTCAGAAACTTATTTGTGATGTGTGCCCTCAACTGACAGTGTTGAACCTTTGTTTTGATAGAGCAGTTCTGAAACACACTTTTTGTAAAATCTGCAAGAGGATATTTGGATAGCTTTGAGGATTTCGTTGGAAACGGGAATGTCTTCATGTAAACTCTAGACAGAAGCATTCTCAGAAACTGCTTTGGGATGTTTCAATTGAAGTCCCAGTGTTGAACATTCCCATTCATAGAGCAGGTTTGAAACACTCTTTTTGTACTATCTGGAAGTGGACATTTGGAGCGCTTTCAGGTCTACGGTGAAAAAGGAGATATCTTCCAATAAAAACTAGATAGAAGCAATGTCAGAACTTTTTTCATGATGTATCTACTCAGCACACAGAGTTGAACCTTTCTTTTGAGAGAGCAGTTTTGAAACACTCTTTTTGTGGAATATGCAAGTGGGTATTAGGCCAGCTTGGAGGATTTCGTTGGAAACGGGAATACGTATAAAAAGCAGACAGCAGCATTGTCAGAAACTACTTTGTGATGTTTGCATTCAAGTCACAGAATTGAACACTCCCTTTCACAGGGCAGGTTTGAAACACTCTTTTTGTAGTGTCTGTAAGTGAACATTTGGATTGCTTTCAGGCCTAAGGTGAAAAAGGAAATATCTTCCCATAAAAACTAGACAGAAGCATTCTCAGAAACTTGTTTGTGATGTGTGCCCTCTACTGACAGAGTTGAAACTTTCTTTGCAAAGAGCAGTTTTGAAACACTCTTTTTGTAGAATCTGCAAGAGGATATTTGGATAGCTTTGAGGATTTCTTGGGAAACGGGAATGTCTTCAGATAAACTCTAGACAGAAGCATTCTCAGAAACTTCTTTGGGATGTTTCAATTGAAGTCAGTGTTGAACATTCCCTTTCACAGAGCAGGTTTGAAACACTCTTTTTGTAGTGTCTATAAGTGAACATTTGGCGTGCTTTCAGGCGTAACGTGAAAAAGGAAATATCTTCCCATAAAAACTAGACAGAAGCATTCTCAGAAACTTGTTCTTGATGTGTCCCCTCTACTGACAGAGTTGAACCTTTCTTTGCAAAGAGCAGCTTTGAAACACTCTTTTTGTAGGATCTGCAAGAGGATATTTGGATAGCTTGGAGGATTTCGTTGGAAACGGGTATGTCTTCAGATAAACTCTAGACAGAAGCATTCTCAGAAACTTCTTTGGGATGTTGCATTCAAGTCACAGAGTAGAACATTCCCATTCATAGAGCAGATTTGAAACACTCTTTTTGTAGTATCTGGAAGTGGACATTTGGAGCGCTTTCAGGCCTATGTTGAAAAAGGAAATATCTTCCCATAAAAACTAGACGGAAGCATTCTCAGAAACTTACTTGTGATGTGTTTGCTCAACTAACAGAATTGAACCATCGTTTTGAAGGAGCAGTTTTGAAACACTGTTTTCGTGGAATCTGCAAGTGGATATTTGGCTAGCTTTGAGGATTTCGTTGGAAACGGGATTACATATAAAAAGGAGACAGCAGCATTCTCAGAAACTTCTTTGTGATGTTTGCATTCAAGTCACAGAGTTGAACATTCCCTTTCATAGAGCAGGTTTGAAACACTCTTTTTGTAGTATCTGGATGTGGACATTTGGATCGCTTTCAGGCCTATGGTGAAAAAGGAAATATCTTCCCATGAAAACTAGACAGAAGCATTCTCAGAAACTTATTTGTGATGTGTGCCCTCAACTGACAGTGTTGAACCTTTGTTTTGATAGAGCAGTTCTGAAAGACACTTTTTGTGAAATCTGCAAGAGGATATTTGGATAGCTTTGAGGATTTCGTTGGAAACGGGAATGTCTTCATGTAAACTCTAGACAGAAGCATTCTCAGAAACTGCTTTGGGATGTTTCAATTGAAGTCCCAGTGTTGAACATTCCCATTCATAGAGCAGGTTTGAAACACTCTTTTTGTACTATCTGGAAGTGGACATTTGGAGCGCTTTCAGGTCTACGGTGAAAAAGGAGATATCTTCCAATAAAAACTAGATAGAAGCAATGTCAGAACTTTTTTCATGATGTATCTACTCAGCAAACAGAGTTGAACCTTTCTTTTGAGAGAGCAGTTTTGAAACACTCTTTTTGTGGAATATGCAAGTGGGTATTAGGCCAGCTTGGAGGATTTCGTTGGAAACGGGAATACGTATAAAAAGCAGACAGCAGCATTGTCAGAAACTACTTTGTGATGTTTGCATTCAAGTCACAGAATTGAACACTCCCTTTCACAGAGCAGGTTTGAAACACTCTTTTTGTAGTGTCTGTAAGTGTACATTTGGATTGCTTTCAGGCCTAAGGTGAAAAAGGAAATATCTTCCCATAAAAACTAGACAGAAGCATTCTCAGAAACTTGTTTGTGATGTGTGCCCTCTACTGACAGGAGTTGAACCTTTCTTTGCAAAGAGCAGTTTTGAAACACTCTTTTTGTAGAATCTGCAAGAGGATATTTGGATAGCTTTGAAGATTTCTTGGGAAACGGGAATGTCTTCAGATAAACTCTAGACAGAAGCATTCTCAGAAACTTCTTTGGGATGTTTCAATTGAAGTCACAGTGTTGAACATTCCCTTTCACAGAGCAGGTTTGAAACACTCTTTTTGTAGTGTCTATAAGTGAACATTTGGCGTGCTTTCAGGCCTAACGTGAAAAAGGAAATATCTTCCCATAAAAACTAGACAGAAGCATTCTCAGAAACTTGTTCGTGATGTGTGCCCTCTACTGACAGAGTTGAACCTTTCTTTGCAAAGAGCAGCTTTGAAACACTCTTTGTGTAGAATCTGCAAGAGGATATTTGGATAGCTTTGAGGATTTCGTTGGAAACGGGTATGTCTTCAGATAAACTCTAGACAGAAGCATTCTCAGAAACTTCTTTGGGATGTTGCATTCAAGTCACAGAGTAGAACATTCCCATTCATAGAGCAGATTTGAAACACTCTTTTTGTAGTATCTGGAAGTGGACATTTGGAGCGCTTTCAGGCCTATGTTGAAAAAGGAAATATCTTCCCATAAAAACTAGACGGAAGCATTCTCAGAAACTTATTTGTGATGTGTTTGCTCAACTAACAGGATTGAACCATCGTTTTGAAGGAGCAGTTTTGAAACACTGTTTTCGTGGAATCTGCAAGTGGATATTTGGCTAGCTTTGAGGATTTCGTTGGAAACGGGATTACATATAAAAAGGAGACAGCAGCATTCTCAGAAACTTCTTTGTGATGTCTGCATTCAAGTCACAGAGTTGAGCATTCCCTTTCATAGAGCAGGTTGGAAACACTCTTTTTGTAGTATCTGGATGAGGACATTTGGAGCGCTTTCAGGCCTATGGTGAAAAAGGAAATATCTTCCCGTAAAAACTAGACAGAAGCATTCTCAGAAGTTTATTTGTGATGTGTGCCCTCAACTAACAGACTTGAACCTTTCTTTTGATAGAGCAGTTTTGAAACACTCATTTTGTAAAATCTGCAAGAGGATATTTGGATAGCTTTGAGGATTTCGTTGCAAACGGGAATGGCTTCATATAAACTCTAGACAGAAGCATTCTCAGAAACTTCGTTGGGATGTTTCGATTGAAGTCCCAGTGTTGAACATTCCCTTTTATAGAGCAGGTTGGAAACACTCTTTCTGCATTCCCTGGAAGTGGACATTTGGAGCGCTTTCTGGACGACGGTGAAAATGGAAATATCTTCCAAGAAAATCTAGATAGAAGCAACGTCAGAAACTTTTATGTGATGGATCTACTCAGCTAACAGAGTTGAACCTTTCTTTTGAGAGAGCAGTTTTGCAACACTCTTTTTGTGGAATATGCAAGTGGATATTAGGGCAGCTTTGAGGATTTCGTTGGAAACGGGAATACATGTAAAAAGCAGACAGCAGCATTCTCAGAAACTTCTTTGTGATGTTTGCATTGAAGTCACAGAGTTGAACATTCCCTTTGAGAGAGCAGGTTTGAAACACGCCTTTTGTCATATCTGGAAGTGTCCATTCGGAGCGCATTCAGGCTTGTGTTGAAAAAGGAAATATCCTCCCATAAAAACTAGACAGAAGCATTCTCAGAAACTTATCTGTGATGTATGTACTCAACTAACAGAACTAAACCATCGTTTTGAAGGAGCAGTTTTGAAACACTCTTTTTGCGGAATCTGCAAGTGGATATTTGGCTAGCTGGGAGGATTTCGTTGGAAACGGGATTACATACAAAAAGCAGACAGCAGCATTCTCAGAAACTTATTTGTGATGTGTGCCCTCAACTGACAGTGTTGAACCTTTGTTTTGATAGAGCAGTTCTGAAACACACTTTTTGTAAAATCTGCAAGAGGATATTTGGATAGCTTTGAGGATTTCGTTGGAAACGGTAATGTCTTCATGTAAACTCTAGACAGAAGCATTCTCAGAAACTGCTTTGGGATGTTTCAATTGAAGTCCCAGTGTTGAACATTCCCTTTCATAGAGCAGGTTTGAAACACTCTTTTTGTAGTATCTGGATGAGGACATTTGGAGCGCTTTCAGGCGTATGGTGAAAAAGGAAATATCTTCCCGTAAAAACTAGACAGAAGCATTCTCAGAAGTTTATTTCTGATGTGTGCCCTCAACTAACAGAGTTGAACCTTTCTTTTGATAGAGCAGTTTTGAAACACTCTTTTTGTAAAATCTGCAAGAGGATATTTGGATAGCTTTGAGGATTTCGTTGCAAACGGAATGGCTTCATATAAACTCTAGACAGAAGCATTCTCAGAAACTTCGTTGGGATGTTTCGATTGAAGTCCCAGTGTTGAACATTCCCTTTTATAGAGCAGGTTGGAAACACTCTTTCTGCATTCCCTGGAAGTGGACATTTGGAGCGCTTTCAGGACGACGGTGAAAATGGAAATATCTTCCAATAAAATCTAGATAGAAGCAACGTCAGAAACTTTTATGTGATGGATCTACTCAGCTAACAGAGTTGAACCTTTCTTTTGAGAGAGCAGTTTTGCAACACTCTTTTTGTGGAATATGCAAGTGGATATTAGGGCAGCTTTGAGGATATCGTTGGAAACGGGAATACATGTAAAAAGCAGACAGCAGCATTCTCAGAAACTTCTTTGTGATGTTTGCATTGAAGTCACAGAAGTTGAACATTCCCTTTGAGAGAGCAGGTTTGAAACACGCCTTTTGTCATATCTGGAAGTGTCCATTCAGAGCGCATTCAGGCTTGTGTTGAAAAAGGAAATATCCTCCCATAAAAACTAGACAGAAGCATTCTCAGAAACTTATCTGTGATGTATGTACTCAACTAACAGAACTAAACCATCGTTTTGAAGGAGCAGTTTTGAAACACTCTTTTTGCGGAATCTGCAAGTGGATATTTGGCTAGCTGGGAGGATTTCGTTGGAAACGGGATTACATACAAAAAGCAGACAGCAGCATTCTCAGAAACTTATTTGTGATGTGTGCCCTCAACTGACAGTGTTGAACCTTTGTTTTGATAGAGCAGTTCTGAAACACACTTTTTGTAAAATCTGCAAGAGGATATTTGGATAGCTTTGAGGATTTCGTTGGAAACGGGAATGTCTTCATGTAAACTCTAGACAGAAGCATTCTCAGAAACTGCTTTGGGATGTTTCAATTGAAGTCCCAGTGTTGAACATTCCCATTCATAGAGCAGGTTTGAAACACTCTTTTTGTACTATCTGGAAGTGGACATTTGGAGCGCTTTCAGGTCTACGGTGAAAAAGGAGATATCTTCCAATAAAAACTAGATAGAAGCAATGTCAGAACTTTTTTCATGATGTATCTACTCAGCAAACAGAGTTGAACCTTTCTTTTGAGAGAGCAGTTTTGAAACACTCTTTTTGTGGAATATGCAAGTGGGTATTAGGCCAGCTTGGAGGATTTCGTTGGAAACGGGAATACGTATAAAAAGCAGACAGCAGCATTGTCAGAAACTACTTTGTGATGTTTGCATTCAAGTCACAGAACTGAACACTCCCTTTCACAGAGCAGGTTTGAAACACTCTTTTTGTAGTGTCTGTAAGTGAACATTTGGATTGCTTTCAGGCCTAAGGTGAAAAAGGAAATATCTTCCCATAAAAACTAGACAGAAGCATTCTCAGAAACTTGTTTGTGATGTGTGCCCTCTACTGACAGAGTTGAACCTTTCTTTGCAAAGAGCAGTTTTGAAACACTCTTTTTGTAGAATCTGCAAGAGGATATTTGGATAGCTTTGAAGATTTCTTGGGAAACGGGAATGTCTTCAGATAAACTCTAGACAGAAGCATTCTCAGAAACTTCTTTGGGATATTTCAATTGAAGTCACAGTGTTGAACATTCCCTTTCACAGAGCAGGTTTGAAACACTCTTTTTGTAGTGTGTATAAGTGAACATTTCGCGTGCTTTCAGGCCTAACGTGAAAAAGGAAATATCTTCCCATAAAAACTAGACAGAAGCATTCTCAGAAACTTGTTCGTGATGTGTGCCCTCTACTGACAGAGTTGAACCTTTCTTTGCAAAGAGCAGCTTTGAAACACTCTTTTTGTAGAATCTGCAAGAGGATATTTGGATAGCTTTGAGGATTTCGTTGGAAACGGGTATGTCTTCAGATAAACTCTAGACAGAAGCATTCTC
The DNA here is from genome assembly GCF_000001405.40 of Homo sapiens. Taxonomy (NCBI): domain Eukaryota; kingdom Metazoa; phylum Chordata; class Mammalia; order Primates; family Hominidae; genus Homo; species Homo sapiens. The sequence goes on from NC_000020.11 coordinate 28,255,769, forward strand.
AGAAACTTCTTTGGGATGTTGCATGCAAGTCACAGAGTAGAACATTCCCATTCATAGAGCAGATTTGAAACACTCTTTTTGTAGTATCTGGAAGTGGACAATTGGAGCGCTTTCAGGCCTATGTTGAAAAAGGAAATATCTTCCCATAAAAACTAGACGGAAGCATTCTCAGAAACTTACTTGTGATGTGTTTGCTCAACTAACAGAATTGAACCATCGTTTTGAAGGAGCAGTTTTGAAACACTGTTTTCGTGGAATCTGCAAGTGGATATTTGGCTAGCTTTGAGGATTTCATTGGAAAAGGGATTACATATAAAAAGGAGACAGCAGCATTCTCAGAAACTTCTTTGTGATGTCTGCATTCAAGTCACAGATTTGAGCATTCCCTTTCATAGAGTAGGTTTGAAACCCTCTTTTTGTAGTATCTGGATGAGGACATTTGGAGCGCTTTCAGGCGTATGGTGATAAAGGAAATATCTTCCCGTAAAAACTAGACAGA